>NC_000003.12:171584361-171735877 GCF_000001405.40 Homo sapiens
CCCTGCTGCAGGATGGAAGTCTAACTTGTATTCTGCTATTGTGAGAATTAAATTCCCTTTAATGCCCTGACATTTTAAAATTTTCAAAATGAATAGAAAAGGTTTTGAGCAACCCCATATAGTGGTTTCTTCCCAGCTTGAGTAATATTATTTCTTTAATTAAGGTTAGCTATGAAATTAAGAGGCATTTTAAGGATTTTGACTTTTTCCCACTTTTCCTTTTCAACCAGTGGCTCTCAAACATTGACGCATATTAATGTCACATGGAGACATTTTTAAAATCCAGATGCCCAAGCCACATCCCAAGCCAATTAACTTAGAAGCTCTGGAGGTGGGGCCCTGGTATCAGTAAGTTTTAAAGCTTTCTGTGTGATCTTTATTGTATTTATCCAGATGCAATATTCATACAAGTCACCCAGAAACTTGTAAAACTACAGATTCTGATTCAGTGAAGCCAAAGATCCTGGATTTCTATTACGGTCCAAGTAGAAAGCGAAGCTGTTGGCTCATATACTATTATTTGAGTATCAAAGCTGTACAGCATTAAAGAAGGATAATGGAATAGGATTGCAAATGTGGAATAAGTTATGGAGGCTCACTCTTAGTAACTCTACTGTGCCCACCTGAGGCCTGCTGCTTTAAAAGTCTAGGGTTATAAGTTTAACAACAGCAACAACCCCTTTTTATTAAGTGATTACTACATGCTTTGTGCTCCACATACATTACTTTATTTATGGCTCAAAACATCCCTATGGAGTTGTCCGGCAGATGCTATTGATGCTCCACCCTATATTTTCTTGGTCGACTTCTGAGTTCACCTCAAACCATAGTGAATAGCTCCCATACAAGTTGCCTACCTTCAGCACCTGAGTCCCTCAGCTCCTTTGCCTGAGGGCTTTCTCCAAAGCCACAGGAATGGGCTCAGCCCCATGCAGGGAAGCATGGAATGCCAAGCACTGGACTATCATGATTTGTTTCTAACGTACAGTTTGAATGCAAGAATGTTTATAGCAGTTTTATCAATAATAGTGCCAAACTGGAAACAATCCAAATGTCCATCAGCAGGAGAGTGGATAATTCAATTACAGTTTATTCATACAATGAAATCCCACATAGCAATAAAAAATGAACTACTGCTGCAGGCACAACGTGGATGAATCTCATAGACATATGTCAAGCAAAAAACCCCAACAATTTATGAAGGTCAAGAGCAGACAAAACTGATCAATAATGATAGAAGTCAGAATAGTAGTTATTTGAGGACAGCAGCATTAGGGGAAAAGCGCATTGATTAGGGTAGTGGAAATGTTCCATATCTTGACCTGGGTAATGGTTTTATGGGTGTAAACATATGTAAATACTCATCAAGCAGTACTCTTCAAAATTTGTGCACTTGATGCACCCTCACTGTATGCTTGTCACTCCTCGTCACAGCTGCTATGGCAGATATGGCATCTTTACTGATCGGTTCAGCACATCCCCTGGCACTTGGTATGCAGTTATTGATTTAGCGAATACATTCTTTTCAATTCCCAACAGGTAAGAGGATGAAAACTGTTTTTACTTACATAGGAAGAATGACAGAACACATTTAATTTCTTGTCCCAGGACTAAGTTAACTTTCCTGCTTTCTTTGATAAAACATATTCCAAAGGGATATTATTTCTTTTACATTCACAGAACATTGTTTAGTACTCCACTATATTGGTCACATTAAATTAACTAGACTTGGTGAGCAGAAAATGGCAAGTTCTCTGGATGACCTGGTAAGACAAACATGTGTCAGAAGGTGTGAGAAAACCCTCTCCAAGATCCAGGGGTTTTCCCCATATGTACAGTTTGTAGGGATCCAATATTCTTGGGCATGCCAGGACATTCCCTCCAAGAAAATGGACAAATCACTGCACCTACATAAAGAAAAAAGAGCAGCCTTATCAAGCCCCCTCAGGGAATCTGTCACCAGCAGTACCATGCCACCCCCTCAGAGGTCTGGGTCCTAACTTTGTAGGTCCCCTCCTTCAAGCTTCTACATTTTAAAAACCTCATCTTTCCCTTCTTTGTCCAGCCCCAGGGGCAGTAGCTGCTTCCTACTTCCGCAGATATTATCTCTGTTACATTAGTGTTCCCATTCTGCCTTTCCAGTTCTCCAATGACTGTTTAGGCAATGTGCTGTGAAAATAACGAGTATGGTGGTTTCCTTCTTCCCTTTCTTCCTGTTAGGATTCAACCAGAGAAATGTAATTAGTAGGAGATTTATTGCAAGGAATTGGCTTATGTGATTGTGGGGCCTGGCGAGTCTGAAATGGGCTGGGCAAGCCATCAGAAACAACAGGCATTAGGAACTCTCTGGCATGAGCTGAAGCTTCTATCTGAAGGCGGAATTTCTTTTCTTCAGGGCAGCCTCAGTTCTGCTCAGTCTACCTCTGAGTTCCCCCAAAGCTGTGGTAGACATTTCCCATACACAGTGAGAGTTTCTTACATTAAGTGTCAAAGCACCTCTGTTGCTTTCCCTGAGGGCTTTCTCAAGCTACAGGAGTATGTGTTTCACATGATTCTTCTGAAGTGGGATTGAGCCCTGTTGTCCATGGTGGTAGCCTGCCTATTAATGCACTAATGCACTCTCTATTAGCATTTCTCTCATCCTTGACTCACTTTCCCCACTCCCTGACTTGTGCTTTCTGGGGCCACTTCCAAATAAATTACCAGCATCCAAGTCCATTATTCAAGGTCTACTTTTGAAAAAACACTAACTATGATAAGTAAGCATCATTGTCAACTCCATTCTATGTCTTCCTTTATTCCATACCAGCCAAAATGATCTCTTAATTTAATTATATCAAGTTACTCCCCTACTTAAAATCTTTTTGTGATGTCTTAACAATTAGAATAAACTTCAAACTTTTAACTAAGGCTTAAAATACCTACCTGGACTGCCCTGGCCTGGGCCTCCAATGTCATTTCCCATTACGGTCCCCTCACTCACTTTCAGCCACACTGGCCTTCTGCTTGCTCCTCAGTCACACAAGGTCATCCTTTGTGGGGCTCATGGCCTTTGCATCTGCTGTTCTGTCTTACACATTCTCACCCACATTTTTACATGGTGGCCCCTTCTCAACATTCAGACCTGTCCGAAATGCCTCTTCCTCAGAGAGACCCTCCTCCATCACCCTGACTGACATAACATCCTGTCTTCCAGGACTTGCAAACCTATTACTCTCCCTACACCACGAGTATCTTTCTTTTAGGACTTTATACCATCTGAAGTGATCTTTGACTTTAACTGCCTTATTGTCTGTCTCTTTTTACTCCATGGGCAAAAGTTGGTCTGTTTTGTCCACTTTATCCTTAGGGCTCAGAATAGTGCCTGGGATGTTGCAGACCCTTGTGAAAGATGTGGTGAATTAATACATGATTATAAATATGCACATAGCTTAAAAACTTGAGTCTCTTTAGGCAACATCTGTGAGCAGGGATAAGGGATAACAAAAGTGGAGTAAACATTTTTACAAACACTGGAGTTGGGGTTCAAGATACAGAGAGGTCAAGGTTGTTCCTATGCCTATATGGATCATGAAATGATCCTAGTTAAGAGTAAGAACAAAACAGATGAAAAATCTTTGTGGTTTAGGTGGGAGTGACTAAAGGATTGGTAGATGACAAGTAGAGAGAAATGAAATTTAAAATTAGGTCTTTAGATTTTTTTTTTCAAAAAATCCTCCCCCTGTCCTCCTCACACCAAATATTCATTGTGTTGTTGATGCCAATGGCAATTCAGTAATTTTATTGTTAGTTGTAGGTTTCCCTAATCTATTTCAAACATAGAATAGGCCCCACATATATTATGTGCTCAATAAATACTTGTGTAGTGTGATTGTTAATTTTAAGTGTTAGCTTGATTGGGTTAAGGGATGCCCAGATAGCTGGTAAAACATTATTTCTGGGTGTGTCTGCAGGGTGTTGGTGGAAGAGACGAGCATTTGAATCAGTGGACTGAGTAAAGAAGATCCACACTTAACCAATGTGGGGGGCAGACATCATCCAATCCATTGACGGCCTGAATAGAACAAAAGTCAGAGGAAGGCCAAATTCTTGCTCTCTATCCTTGAGCTGGAACATCCAGCTTCTGCTCTCAGACATCCAAGCTCCTGTTTCTCAGGCCTTTGGCCTCAAGCTGAATTATACCACTGGCTTTTCTGGTTCTTCAGCTTGCGGACAGCAGATAGTAGGACTTCTTGTCCTCCATAAACATGTGAGCTAATTTTCATAAGAAATCTCTTATGAGATTATATATATAATATATAATAGTCATGGTTCTCCAGAGAAGCAGAACTAACATCCTAGAAACAACCCATGCAGTAGTCAGGGTTCTCCAGAGAAACAGAAGCCTATGAGAACAGGGTTTAGAGTGATTGTGTAACTTGCCCGAAGATACCAACTAAAATACTGACAGAGCTGAGATTTGACTTCAAGTTCCATTCTCTTAACTGTTAAACAATACTACCTTTGTCTAAAGACTAATTGAGCCAATAGACTTATGTGGAGTTTTTTTTTCAGAGTTGCATTTGTATATGTTTAAAAATTTCTCCAAATACTTTGAAAGTAAGATCTGAAAATCAAACAGATCTTTGGAAATTTTGCAGCTGAAATGGAGAAGGCCAGGAAGCATTTAAACCAGGGCTATGGTTAATGTTATTTGTAGCCTGAGAATGTGACTGAGGGAGAGGGAGCTTACAGGCTGCTTTAGCTGGGCTCACTCTCTCAACCTCGTAGGGAAGTCGTAGTGGGGTCTTACTCAGTGAGAGTGAAGCCTCCGGAAGTTCTGTTCCATTCTCTCTACTCATTATTCAGACCTTGTCTGTGTCATTTAATCTTTCAGTTTGTTGCTCCATAAAATGTGAAAAAAAAAAGTAGCAACTGGTCTGATCTTTCATAAGCAGCTACTCTGAAAGCATACTTGGAAGTGCTTGCAGCTCTTTGGAGGAGGGTGAAGTATTTACTGGTATTATGCCTGCCTTCCGTAGGCTTACCTTGACAATATCTATGATGTGTCCCTAGTGTGCCCTGATGAATAAAGATCCCGAAGTGAAAAATGTAAAGCAATATGGTCTGTGGTGAAAACACCCATCACACATCAGCCCATCCCATCTGAGGTCCAAACTTTTCCTGGCCCTGACTCCTTGCTATCAAGTAGAGGAGATATATTTACCAGAGAAAATTCAGGGTATCTGGGTCCAGTGTATACTATCTGGAATTGCCAAGCCTAAGACAAAAATCCTGAAGTAATCCTGAAGCTATTTCTGGCCTTGGGCACAGGCTTTGTATTATATGAGCATTTAAAATTTCAGAACACTTTCACTTAAGGACTCATGTATTCCTTACCACAAGCCCTCGCCTCAGTTTTCCCAACAGTAAACCAGAAGCATGGCCTGTAATGACTGTTCAAGTAATATCATTATCTTTCATTTCTCCAAATTTCCACTCCTAACTAGAAATCTCTGGAGAGATCAAGCAAGGCAAAAAGAAATCTGTCCAGTCTTGCTTGAGGTTTACTGGTTTCGGCGTGGTCTGGGAAGTGGATAAATCATTGGTCCCTTGGCCTGTGTCTCTCTCACTCAAGTCAAACACAAGTTGGGAAGGACGTACCAAGCTTTCCGAGAGGCAGGTTTCCCATAGGAGGCTGTTAATGGCCTGTCATGTGCTTTTTTTGGCAGAGCAGTGAGGAACTCTTTGAGAGCCTCAAACACACTGGGAACCCCAAAATAAAAGGAATTAGTAACCAAGATTAAAATTGTGTTGCAGTGGTTTGCTTCAGTGCTGAGGCTCTCAACTGTGGTAACTCTATAAATTCAGGTGGATTTCTCAGCAAATAATTCATCTCCCTGGCCTACATGACGGGAGAAGCACTCAGATTGAGTGACTTTCTTTTCCCCTTGGACTCTCAATGCTCACGCACATCCTCCTTTGGATGGTAATACTGCATTCATGCTGAAAGACATTTTTGCTTCAATAAATTAAAAATGGTAAGGATCGGCTTACATTCTTTCTTTTTATATTTTCCTAATGAAAAATGAATATTTGATTCTCTGTTGTATTGCTATTATTCATATCCCTTAACCTTTTATTTGATGTGCAAAAATGTCGTGTTGAAAAACTCAAGGGCCACAGACTAGTAGAAACAAAAAGAATATTTATTTTCATTTTTCATGTGATATTATTTCAGAGTTGTTGTAATAACCATTTTCTCTTGTAATAAAACATTTTGTTTAAAAACCATCCTTTGTTATAGTTCTTCTGTCCTATAAAAGTGTCAAAAGGATGCTTTTCCTTTCTATACTTCTTTTGACTTTTAATAAAAGGCCAACAATCTCACTAATCTATACATGTTATTTAAGAATATATTTCAAAAAATGAAAATAAAATCAGTTGAAACAAATCCCACTATGTGCAACAATAGAAAGAAGAGTTTAGGCTGGCTTAAGTGTTCAAAAATATCATGGCTTAATCAAATTCAGGTTCTTGAATATGATGGGCTTTTTTTCCAGGTGTTGAAAACCTATCATGACTTTCCTTTTTATGAACAGCATTTGGCAACCATTTGACAATTCTTATAATAGAACTCAGTGGGAATATGAAGACAAAGGCTTTGGAATTTTTGTAAGCACAGGAAGGTACATCTCCTGGGAAGTAGAGCTATCACACAATAATCAATTCATGCAAAAAGCAGAGAAACACACACATACACACATACACACACACACTCAAATATCTATATGGGAAAACAAGAAATCTGGAAAAAAAAAAAAAGGAGCCTCATGTCCAATGTGTGTGGCAGCTAACCTCCAAGATGACTCTAATAATCCCTGCCTCCTGGTGTTCATGTTGTAGCATAGTCTTCTCCCACATTGAGTAGGGCTGACTGGTGTAACAAATAGAGTATCATTGTAATGATAATTTGTGACTTCCAAAGCTAGATTATAAAAGATCTGTGACTTCTGCTTTGCTCTTTCTTAGATCACTCACTCTGAGGGAAGCCACCTGCCCAGTTGTGAGCAGCCCTATGGGATAAAGATTTTCTTGTTTTCTTTTTTTTTTCTTCAACTTTTAAGTTTTGGGGTACATGTTCAGGATGTGCCGGTTTGTTACATGCATAAACATGTGCCATGGGGGTTTGCTGTGCACATCAACCCATCACCTAGGTATTTAAGCCCAGCATCCATTAACTATTCTTCCTGACGCCCTCCCTCCCCCCATCCCCCAGCCCGGGCCCGACAGGCCCCAGTGTGTGTTGTTCCCCACAGTGTGTCCATGTGTTCTGGGATGAGGATTTTCATTGCAGCGTATTTGTGGTAGTGGGTAGTTGGAGGTAACCCAGGTGTCAATTTTTGCCAAAGTGATGGACAAAGTGTAGTGATCACTTAACATTAAATACAATGATTAAACACAAAAGATTAGAACTACATACATCAACGTGGTTGGATCTTAAAAACAGTGTATTGTCAGAAATAGAATGCAACATACATCATTCATGTAAATAAAAATTCACAAAATGACAATATACATTTTGCAAGGACATACTCACATGAAAATATATACGTAAAATATGTTGAAATGCATGTCTATTGCAAGAAGAAGAAAGATGAATATGGTATGGAGATAAAAAATAAATTAATGAATTAAGCAAGAGAGGGGATCTTACTAGGCCTTGAATTGAGGGATGTGATTAACTCAATCCTTTGCACTAGAGGTCCAAAACTAGTTAAGAAAAAAAGTTGGAAAAATACACTTAGACTTTGAAAAAGAGGGCATATGAAAGCGTGGTAGTAAAAGAGAAGAGGAGCATTCAACGACACCACAGACCAGTTTCAAAACAAGGTGGTGTCTTTGACACAGATCTGGGTTGCTGTTCCAGGAATGAAAAGCATATCAATAGCAGGGTTTGGAGAGGGTGATTCCAACTGCTAATCAAGAACTTCCTGATTTTAGCCTCCACCATAAGGTCCTTGCATCTATATGTAGAGAACACATTGCAGTGTAAAGTTTCTTGTTAATGAAGAAGGGATATGAAAAAGAAGCTCAGAAAATAGTGTCTTTATTTTCAAAGACTTTTCAAAAGTACCCTTTTTGTTGTTTCTCAATCACTAAACGTTTGCTTCCTGAGTTATCAGTACAATTCTAAACCAGCCCTTTTGTCTATTCTAGAAAGGAAATAGTCAAATATCTTGGGGAAAACTGTATAATTTTAATTTTCTGTTGTCAAATGAGATTGTGACCTGACGTTTAGTTCCATTATCACAGCTTTAACTGTATTTTATGTTTTAAAAAATGATGGAGACTTTATAAATACCACAGGAAAATTTAGAAATCCACTTCTTACTGCATCACTCTAATATAAAAACGGCTTTTATTTCTTTGGTTCTCCCCTGAGCTTTATGAATTGGCCTAATGAATCTCAAATATCATAAGCATAGGAAGCCTTGGGGGAAGAGGATTGAGGTGGCAACTTTTCAATTCAATTTTTGCATAACTTGAACAATATGCTCAGGATTGTGATAAGCCCAGTACAAAGGGCATAAAAAGTTAGAATATTCCTGTCATGAGGGAAATTACATGCTTCTAGAATGGATAAGAATTACAACATTGTGAAATTCCCCACCCCCAGCTTTACTGAGGTGTAATTGACAAATAAAAACTGTATATATTTAAGGTACAGAATGTGATGATTTGATATACATGTACTTTGTGAAATAATTATCATAATCAAGCCAATAAACACATGCATCACCTCACATAATTATCCTATTTTTTCCTATGTGGTGAGAACATTTAAGACCCACTTTCTTACCAAATTTCAAGTACGCAGTACAGTACTAGTAACTAATAGTCACCATGCTGTGCTGACTGTTGGATCCCAGAACTTGTTCATCTTATAACTGAATTTGTACCCATTGACCAGCATCTCCCCACTTCCTCCACTGCCCCTACCCTCCAGCCTCTGGCAACCACCATTCTACCTTCTGCTTCTATGAGTTTGGCTTTTTTAGATTGCACATATAAGTGAGATCACCCAGTATTTGTCTTGCTGAGTCTGGTTTATTTCACTTAGCATTATATTTTCCAGGTTAATCCATGTTGTCACAAATGGAAGGATTTCTATCTTTATTATGGCTGAATAATATTCCATTCAACACGTTTTCATTATCCATTCAACTGTTGGTGGACACTTAGATTGATTCCATATCTTGGCTATTGTGAATAATGCCAAAATGAACATGAGAATGCAGATCTCTCTTTGAGATACTGATATCATTTCCTTTGGATATATACCCAGAGTGGGAATACTGGGTCATATGGTGTTCTAGTTTTAATTTTTTTTAGGAAACTCCAGAATATTTTCTATAACAGCTGTACCAACTATTGTGAAAAATTAAAGGTTTATTCAACCTAGTGTTGTTGATGTCCAATCACATAGACCCTCAGCCTGCTCTGAGTTTACCTGTGGCCACAGGGGCCAGTTCCTACCAAGTTGACAGCTTTGCCCTGAATGGGTTTCTCTCTGCTTCTTTGCTGGCTCTCTCTGGCCCAGCAACTGCATGCAGGGAAGCTGAAACTGTGTGCAGGGAAGCTCCAGGAGTGTTGGGGGTTTACAGCCCCAGGGGTGACCTTCAGTGTCAGTCTCCTCAAGCCTCAGAGCCTTCAGTGGGTAAGGGCCACGTTGCCATCAGTGGTAACTTGTTCTTTAATGCACCATTTATTGGCTTTGCCCTTCCCTTGCTTACCCACTCCCGTGCATGTGCTTCCTCAGAACACATCCTAATTAAACTACCTTCATTCAAATCTTTGTCTCAAGGTTTGCTTTAGGGGGAACCCAAATAAAACATATCAGACAGAATGTAGTCAAATGCCAAGATGTGTAAAACCAAAATTTTCTTCCCCTCCAACTCTACCACTTCTCAATTCCCTGTCGATGGAACAAGACATAAAATTAATGCAATCAGCACAGGTTCCCGTTTGCCTCACCTCTTGCTGGTTGCCCTTGACCATTTGAGAGGCTGGCTGAGAATGAAGTTGCCACAGTAGACAGCCCTACTATATGCCTTCTTTTTATTGTCAATTTAAATGTGACCTTTCTAGCTCAGGCAGTGACACAGTCTAAACACTTCTATTCTTCCTAGATCTTGGCAAGTGCAGCAATCTGCTATCCTTCTCTTTTTCCATTCGTCTCTTTTTCAGATTTATTCATTTTCTCTACCAACTATCTATTATGCATATGGTCTGTCTGAAGTACATTAGGTCCTGGAGGTGCCCCAATGCCCAAGACAGTCGTGGTTCATGAGCTCCCATTGCTTAGAGCTCAGGGTACTACTGTAGCAGGCATCATATATGGTGTGGGAATGCTGTGAAAAGGACAGCATGCTATGGCAGCACCCAGGAGGCCACAATACTAAGCCAGAGTGGGGTGGGGGCGGGGGTCAAAGAAGGCTACTTAGGAGAAAAAAAAATAGGCTTTAAGAAAGTCAGAAGAAAGGGATATACAGGAGCCAAACTGAGTATTGCTCAAAAGAAGAGCAGCAGCAGGAGGTGATTCAGCTGGAGGATTAAAAAGGGGGCAGTCTATAAAGAGCCTTGCAGAACCTTTCTAGGACTTTACCCTAAAACAAAATCTCTCAAAGGAATTTAAACTGGAAAAGATATGACCAGACTTACATTTTAAAAATATCTCTGACTGCAGTGAATAAATCTGGGAGTGACCAGACTTGACAGACTAGTTAATGTAGATGAAGTGATGGTGACCAAGGTGGAGCAGGAAGTGGCATTGGGAGGAAAAATAATTGAAAGCAATTGGGAGACATTGAGGTAGTGGAATTGATAGATTTGGTGGCTAATGATATGGAGAAGGTAAGAGAAAGGGGGGAATCAAGAATGATAATTATTTTCCAGTTTGGCAGTTGGTGGCTGGTGGGGCTGTTCCTTAATACAAGGAACAACAGAAGGAGCCCTGTGGGAGCATTGACCGCAGACTGGAAGAGAGTACTGATGATGGTTGTCATTTTGGATAGGCTGTGTTGTTGAGTTTGAGGAGCACGTGAAGAAAGCAGGTAGAAATATCTAATCTTCAGGCATGTCTGGAGTTTAGGGGAGAGATCTGGGCTAGAGGGAGGTGAGATAAGCATCTTTATGAGGGGTTATCATCTATGCTACAGGTATTATTTAAGAACCTTGCTGCAGAACACCTTGATATGCAGGAATCAAACATCCATCATCATGGCAGTTTCGCTTCAAGAAGGGTGTCATTCTTATCATGCAACAGACTGTTTTCCTGCACTTATATATTACTAAAGACTAGAAAAACAGAGATGGATCAGTTTAGGTGGAGTGGCTAGAAGCCAGAAGGCAGAAGATCGTAGAGCAATTAGAATGTGAAAAAGGAAAAACAGAATACCCTGAAGAAGCGTGACTCTATCAATGATCTATTGCAGTGTCACAAACCACTCTAAAACTTAGTGGCTAAGACAGTGACAATTTTATTTGCTTATAATTCTGTGGGTCAGCGTTTTGGGCTGGGTTCAGCTGAGTAGCTCTTCTAGTTTCTTTGGCAGTTTAGTCTGGATGACCTAACATCCAGACCAAAGATGTGGTCATGGGTTGTGTGTGTCCTCTCTCTTCAAGACGCCCTCACTTTAAGAGAATAACGAAAGGCAGTTGCAGCAGCTAGCACTGATTTGGTAGAAGGCACCCACTATATGCCAAATATTGTGCTTTTTGCTAGGTCTCCCATGGCCTTATTACCATGCTGCTGAAAACCTTAGAGAGGTTCATCTGCTCAAGGAGCTCCCAGTGCTGGCAATTGGCAAGGCCAAGATTTTAGGTGAGCTCAGTAATGTTGAAGCCCATGCTTTTCCCACTACTACTTGCTGGTTAGTTCCACACTTACACCTCATGGGCCTGGGGGTTACATGTAAGGCTGCAGGGGCTTTAAGTGGAGGTAGAGGACAATCTTGGGGTTCAGAGAGCACTGGAGTATGTTTGGCCCCCTGACCTGCAGACAGCCAGTTATAAAAGTAGTCAATGAACTAAAATCTGAAGTGCCTAGAAGAGGCTGTGGCCAACAAAGCCACTAAAATCTTAACTATTATTATTGTCATTGGTACTGGTAATATTTTGCTTCCTGGTTCATACTCTGGTGTCTTCCATACCATGGTTGCTTCCTGGTTCATACTCTGGTGTCTTCAGCATTTATCAGTCTTTGCTATTCTCCCTAGCTTGGGAAAATTCCTACACTTCCACCCAATTGCATCTTATTTCATGCATTTTCTTATGTTGAGAATGGAAATAGCTTTGTAGTCTCCATTTGCTAAAGGGAGAGTACCACAAAGGAGGAGAACCTGGTGTGACTTGTTCATTGATGCAACCCCAGCATCCTGACTGGGCCCTGCACAGTATGTGCTTATCGAATGCCATGTTGGTCTTTTAAAATAAATTCACCTCATCAAGGTATCAGCACACCTTAAGGTGAGAGAGGCCTGGGCAGGGGCCAGGGAGCTACGCCTCTGTAATGCACTCTGAATCTACAACGGACCTTCGTGGGGACACATGCTTGTGTGCAGAGGAGGTCTCTAGAGGCACACATTGCTGTCTTCATCTGAGACATACAGCATACTGGCTCCAAAAGCCCCACATGCAGAAAGAGGAATCTTATTTTCAAATAGAGGCACACTGCTGATTTCACACTTTTCATTGCTCAATTAATTGATATTTAAAGAAAAAGTAGTTAAGGGATATAGAAAGCATTGACTGTGAAGCTACGAAGGGATACATGTATCATTTCCAACACTTCACAGAAGGACAATTCAGGGAAACCAAGTTTCTTGATTTCACAATTCCAATTATAAATACAACACTTAGGCTTATCCCTCCTCATATGCATTACACTTCAGTTACAAGCATGTTCCACCATGCATGTTGATGAGTGCTTGTCTGGGAGATACCTGCTTTAGCCGACCACTTCTCTTTCAGAACCAAAAACCATGTAATTTTAATTCCTGAAAGGATTTGGCTATGTTCTTATAATAAACACATTGTAAACTGTTGGGGCCTGGGATAGGGAGAATTGAAAACTCTACTGATGGAGGAGATTAAAACTCCTCCAAATCTGCCTGATTGAGGTACCCTGTCTGGATATCTTCTGCTTTCTGTAGGAAGGATCAGCAAGTTTTGTCTTAATGATAGTAATATTTTAGGATTTATGGATCATACAATCATGAGGGCATATAAATGAATGGGTGTGGCTGTGTTTCAATAACATTTTATTTACAAAAACAGGAGGCCCAGACTTAGTTTGCCAAACCTGCCCTAGAGGGAAGGCTATGAGCTCCAGTTCTCTCCAGAATATCTGGATATTCTGAATGGATGTTCATCATCCAATATTTGCTTTCTGTGTCAGAGTGTGTGTGTGCTCCAACTGGAATAATTTGGTATGAATTTTTAAAATGCAGAGCATCAGTGCTGTTGGTGTAGTCCATTTTATGTGAAGAATCCAAGTGGAATATACATTGGGAGGGTATGATGTTGTATTTCTTAGCATTACACAGAGCTAGAATGACATTCACTTAAATGCACTTATCTAGAATAAAGTGAAGAATGACAGTTGCTTGGAAATAGGGAAGACTGATTGAGCCCATGTTTTGGTTGGACTACCATTGAACCTAATTTTAAAACGTAAAGGTTTAAAATGATTAGTGTGGCCAGGCACAGTGGCTCATGCCTGTAATCTCAGCACTTTGGGAGGCCAAGGCGGGTGGATCACCTGAGGTAAGGAGTTCGAGACCAGCCTGGCCAATATTATGAAACCCCGTCTCTACTAAAAATACAAACAAACAACAACAAAAAAAAAATTAGCCAGGTGTGGTGGCAGGCACCTGTAATCCCAGCTACTCGGGAGGCTGAGGCAGGAGAATGGCTTGAACCCAGGAAGCAGAGGTTGCAGTGAGCCAAGATTGTACCACTGTACTCCAGCCTAGGTGACAAGAGTGAAACTTTATCTCAAAATAAAATAAAATAAAATAAAAAATAAAATAAAATAAAATAAAATGATTAGTGATAGATTTTCATTTATCCAGGGTTTGATTACTTTTAAATTAAAAATTATGAATGGTATAAAGGAAAAATAAAATAACCTATAAAATTAAGCTGGGAATTTTTGACTCCTTTAATGAATCCTTCCAATCTCAAGTGAAAACCAGGAACATCTTATATATGAATTAAATTGACAGTAAGAATCATATTATGATACTTGCCCCTTTTTAAAAAAATGCATATCTATTGATTCTTCTACTTGCATCTTATTCATAGAGGCGGATGAATTCCTTTTCCAGTGGACTTCTAGATTCAAGAATCTCTCAAGGCCTAGGCCTGGGTAAACTCATTTTAGATCACCAAACTTGCAGTAGTAGTTGACCTCAATGAATAGTCCAAGGAAATACACATATATACTAAGCACACTTAAAATCCTTTAGCATTTGCTCCTTTTGTATAAGAAATAGCAGAGGACTAAGGAGACATGACAGGTCCTTGTCACCCCTGCTACGGAGGGTGACAGGTACCAGAAAATGCTCAGGTGCCACATCAGATCAGGCAAGTTAAAAAGAACAATGACCTATGTGAAAAAATTCTATTTTGTCAGTCACTTTAAAGTATGAGTTAAGTGAATATTTATTATAGACTGAATGATGTTTGTGTCTTCCCTCCCAGCTCATATGAAGCCCATATCTCTGATGTGATGGTATTTGGAAATGGGGCCTTTGGAAAGTAATTTCAGGTTAGATGACGTCATGAGAGTAGGGTGCTCATTATAGGATTAGTGGCCTTGGAAGAAGAGACACCAGAGAGCTTGCCCTCTGCCTCCTGTGCTCACACAAACAGGCCATGTGAGCACACGGTAAGAAGGTGGCCGACAAGCCAGGAAGAGTCCTCACCAGAAACCTACCATACAGGCACCTTGATTTCCAACTTCCTGTCTCTGGAATTGTCAGAAAATAAATTTCTGTTGTTTAAGTCACCCAGTCTAGAGCATCTTGTTTTGGCAGCCTGAGCAGACTAATATAAGGCCTGATTTTTTTTCCAGAATACTTTTTCTTGTCTTTTGAAATAATTTTTACATAACAAGAAGGTGCTGTGGTAGGGGATAGAGACTGAAGGAATAAGGAATGAGGAGGCCAGTGCGGTGGCTCACGCCTGCAATCCCAGCACAGGGGAGGGAGCTCAAGCAATCCGCCTGCTTGGCATTGGGATGGAAAAATGCTATCTGTACAAACAATACGAAAATTAGCTGGGTGTAGTGGCATGCACTTGTAGTCCCATCTACTCAGGAGGCTAAGGTGGGAGGATTGCTTGAGCCCAGGAGGCAGAGGCTGCAGTGAGCTGAGATCACACCACTGCCAGCCTGGGCCACAGAGCAAGACCCAGTCTCAAAAAAAAAAAAAAAAAAAAAAAAAAAAAAGAGAAAAGAAAACAAAGAAAAAGAAAAAAAAAGAAATGAGGAGATGCAGAAAAAGTTCAGGCTCTATATACATAAATCTATTTTTCCTAGTCTTATATCCGCAAAATGACTTCTCAGCTTGTTGTTTTTGTCTGGAAAAGTATTAATTCATGATATTATAATTTCCCAAGTTCTTACATAAGAAATTAACTGTCCATATTTTGAGTACTTACAGACAAAATTTCCTTTCAAAAGTGCTTTGAAAATAAACATTTTGTTTTACAGTATGCCACACAATTATCTAATGACCAGCTCTCTATGCCTCCCTGTGATGCATTCCAGGTAAGAATTAAAAACATCCCACCGAAGGGTGAGTCATGGGCTGGACACTAGATTCAGAACAAACGCCCGCACCAGACTTGCTATGCTAAGGCTATCCTCCGACGACTGAACGTGGCCAATCTGAATAGCTTTAATACACCATGGCCACTTTCCATCATTCATTTTTTGTAATACTAGAATTTTTCCCTCTTGAAAACAAAAATTATTACAGAAATTAGCAGGATGTCAGGTATATAGCATTTATAGGCATTTCAAAATAGTCACTTTGAAATGTTGAGCAGATTCATGATAGATTTTCAAGGCTTTGAATTATTTACATTTTAAAAAGTTTATCAGATATTGCAATGTTAAAGATAAATTATTTGAACTTCTAGTAGGTAGTAATGGTGTCAGAGAATGACAGGTAATTAAGTCATACAGTACATCTTGTGTCCACATTTCATGCAATTTTTGCAGAATGCTGTACTATGTAAACTGCTACTGCAAAAAAAAAAAAAAAAGCAATTATTGCACTGAATTTTCCATAAAATCCCTCCAAGTAAATCTTATCACCCCTTTGCAGATGAGCATCTTGTCTTTGGGAAGATGCAATAGAAAAGGAACTTGCCATAGAAAGCAGTAGTAAGACTTCTTATATGAGACTAAGATTTTCATTTCATTAGCTCTCTCCTTCACCTTGTTTATTAATTCTACAAGCATTTATTGCCATCTCCTATGTGCCAAGCACTGGTCCAGGCTCTGGGGATACACTATGAACAAAATACAGTGAAGTCCCTGCCCCATGGAGCTTACATTCTAGTAGGGGGAGACAGACAAACACATAAATACAAAATATCAGAGGGTTCAAAACAGCTTAGAGGTATCTTGCCTGAATTCTGTTTACTGCATATCCTCATTCTTGGGCAATGATAAAGTGAAGAGAGAGGCCAACAATGGGCTGCAGCAATGTTGCTAGTCCCAGCTCTACCATCTACACATTGAGTGGATTTAAGTGAGTTCTCATCTGATCTGAGCCTCAGTTTCCTCATCTATAAAATGGGGAGAAATTGGATTAAATTACTTATAAGGGAAAGGGTCCTTTCAGGCTTTTTTCATGAGAGTAGGGTGCTGAAAATCAAGAGCCAGTTTGTTGACTCCTCTAAGGTTTAAAAAATATTTAAATATAAAATCTAAGAAATCCTTAGAGATCCCATACACTCAATACTTCAAATGCCAATCTGAACTTCTTTCATCAATAGCAAATTCTTATTTACAATGGCTATAGAATGAAGTCATTTTACCATCTTTAGCCATATGAAAAATAAGTTATTTACTTATAAAAACATTCATTTTTATTATTGGTTACAAAATCTCACCTTATTTGTGAAATGTTCCCTAGCTATGAGATCCTGCCCTTGATGTGACACTATTTCTCTCTTCTGCTAACCCCTATCCCTGACTTTGTGCTCCTGTTTAATTTTTCCAACTGAAGTATTAGCTTTATGAAAACAGGGATCGGCTGCTTGCTTCTTTGAAGAACAACCCAAATGAGAGTATGTCCAGGTAATCCATAGACATGTATAATCATTACACCTGCATTTTGTTTTACAGGTACAGGCCTTTTGGTAACCCACATTAGCTCTTTAGACTGTCAGAGTTGTTCAGCTTAGTAAAATTTAGTTTATCAAAGGGTACTCTAACATCCGAAAAGGAAAAACACGTTTCCAGACTAATTCACAGACTAGGGCATTGTAACTTCACTGGAAGCCCTGGTGAGAGGCGTTAATACATATTTAATAATGTAAGTGAAGTAGCACATATTTTATAATCAATTAATTTTTCTCAAAGAAGATAATGTAGCAGAAGACCTGAATGTCAAACAAGGTTAGACTCATACTTACTAACTTGGTAGGAGTTACGATGCCTCTGATTCTCTTGAAAGACAAACTGTATTCACTAGTTTGATTTTGAAATGTAGAGATCAAATTTCAATCAACCCAGCAGCTAAGGATGACAGGAAATTTTACAGGACTAGAAGGAATCATCTTCTCTTATCTGGATCTGATCCTCCTCGACACCTTGGGGGTTTCCGAAGGCTGTGTGCTCTCAGTTTTAGCTGGTTGTTACGTAATCAAATATCCCATGCATGTTTTTACATTTGATCAGGTGGGCCTAATCACAAGGACTCATGTTGTCAGTGCCTTTGGGAGCAAAATGAAATAAATCTCTGTCTCAATATTGGAATTTATTCCTTCCTGTTGCTTAGTGGTGTCAAGATACAGTGTCAATGTTACCAGAAGTGCCTAACACAGTCTACTGTGTAGGCTAAAGTCTGCCGTGTTCGTACAGTGACTGAAAAGGAATAATGACTATATCCTCATTTGGGTGAATGTTACTACTTCAGGACCAGATGAGCAGGGGCATCCCATGTAACCATGAAGAATCTTGAAGCAGCATTACAACATCTAATAATAAACAATCTCTCAAACAGTGCCTGTATGAACTGCAAGATGAGGGCAGGTCCAGCTAGACATTGGCTGCATAAATGAAGATCAGAGAAGAATAAGGAGATTCAGACAACTTTTGGCAACCTAGATCACAGTTACTGGTAAATTCTTGTTACAAAGGAAATGGATTTTGGTATACGGAATTTGAATATGTGTTTTACTCAACAGAGTACATGCTACCAACAAGAATGCAGCCCCCTTTTTACAAGTTAGGCAGAAGGAATTATAAAGTCTTGCTGATGTTTACAGTCCTTACATCAATGTGACTGCAGCCCTCCCCAGTCATTCCAAAAGGTCCTTGGGTTGGATACGAGAATGCGTCAGGCCTGGCTTTGGCTATGACATCCCCAGGAAGTCACTGTGTGCAGTGTGGTCTCCAGGGTGGAAGTCTTTGAGCTGCCAATGAATATCTCTTAAGTCCAAACCTCCATGGGCACTATGGCCTCTTTGGTCCCAACAGAAGGCAGTAGGCTTTCTTCAGACAAGAAATAAAAGGGGAATTGCACCAAAAATCCACGGATCTTCTTCAGTTCCTCCTCAGCTCGAATGGGATCTTCCTTAGCTAATACGGGCTTGTTTATAAAGTCTCTCAGCTGAATTAAATTGTGTACTTCATCATTGGGAAGGCACCGGAAAACCTGATTAGAGCATAAATAGAAAAATGAGTGAAAAGTTTAAAAGCGAGCACATGGCCTTTATGGAAAATAATTATTCCAACAGACAAGACCTCTGTTGTATGAAACATATTATTAGTCTTATGTTACAGCACAGACCTGATTTAAGAGTTGGTTATCTTATAACCAACAATAGATAGATCTGCTACAAACAGATAGATCTGCTTCCATTTAAAAAATCATGGTTAGTGGCAAGAAATTACACTAATGTTACCCCACATTAAGGTTAATTTTTTTTGGATAATAATCATCCCTGAATTTCACTGGAGCTTCTGGTCTAAGAGGAATATTGCATATTATATTTTCCCTAACTTTTCTTGAAAGAGGCTCATATCTGTACCTTTACATAGCATTATCAATTGTTAATATGTAACACTTACTTTGCTGGTTGAAAATGAGTTTTGGATATCATAACACTTCACCCCTGAATACTTCTCTGCAGGTATGTCTTAAGAATAAGGACATGTGCCTATATAATCACAGCACTATTCTCACACCTAAGAAAATTAATTATATAATGTCATTTAAGTTATGCTTCATATTCAGATTTATCCTGTTATCCCCAAAATGTCTTTTATAGATGTTTTCCCCCAAATCCAGGACCCAAATAAGGCTGTGCACTGCATTTGTAAAATTACATTTTAATGACTCTATGCACATGACCTATTTGATCATGGCCTTCGGTCCATGAAATAAGGATGAAATAAGGTTATACAGGGGTCAGGCGCATTGGGTCATGCCTGTAATCCTAGCACTTTGAGAGGCCAAGGCAGGCGGATCACTTGAGGTCAGGAGTTCAAGACCAGCCTGTATCATAATACAAAAATTAGCTGGGTGTGCTGGTGGGCACCTGTAGGCCCAGCTACTCGGGAGGCTGAGGCAGGGGAATCACTTGAACCCAGGAGGTAGAAATTGCAGTGAGCCGAGATCATGCCACTGCACTCCAGCCTGGGCAACAGGGTGAGACTCCATGTCAATTAAAAAAAAAAAAAAAAGGAAAGAAAGAAAAGAAACAAGGTTATACAGACAGTAGACATGTTTCATTAAGAATAATAAGTTTCTCTGCTGGAAGGGGCTCTAAGAGAAAAATTGCGTATTTTCCCTAATTTTTTTTTTTAAAGAGGTTCACGTCTGTCCCTGGAAGTCATGAAGAAGAACACAGACTTATCCAACTTCTCACAGATGGTCAATTAGTCTGGGCTAGAACACAGCTTGAATAGTTTTCCCTGATGGGCAACTAGCTACTTTTCGAAGTAAGCTGTTCTACTGTTACGCAACTCTTAACTCTTTTACATTCTTTATTATAACCAAAGGATAGACTTCACAGGCAATGCATTTGGTATGCATCAAATGGAGCCGGTTTTAAAACACCTTTCTAAAACTAGAGCTGTCCAACAAATGACATGTCTTGTTATTAATATTAACAAGATTCATCATAAGGATGAATACTGTTTACTATACACTATGTGCTAAAACCATTCACTAGACTATTCTTTGTCCTCATAACTACCCTTGTGAATATTCCTCCCAATTTATAGGAGAGGAAAAAGAAACTCAGAAAGTTAAGTCACTATACACAAGGTTATAACACCAGCAACGGGGTGAGCTAGGCTGGACTCAGCTGTGGCTTGTTTTTTTATGCCATCTGCCCCTCTTCTCTTTGTCACTAGACATGTACAAAGGCTGGGTAACCAGGTGCTAAGGATGCTGCTGATGGGATTCCTGCATCACAGGAGAGACTGGAATGCTGCTAAAGCCTCTTCTAAACCAAAATCCACAATGCTTTTTGCCTTTGTTTTTCAGGGTCCACAAAGAGGTATTTTATTACAACCTGGACATGTATTAGCTTTTTTACGTTTATTAAGAATACCCTGTACCAATAATATGCAGAAATAACAATATGCTTTTTGTGATGAGATTCAGTGAAAAGAAACGGAGGAGGGGAATACGTGAACTTCACCTTGTCATAAATTGTAGCATTTCGAGCTGCTGTTGAAACCCACACCTCCTTGAAGAATTTGTCACTCACTGGATCCTGAATGTCCTCACTTGGGTCATCAAGATAGCCAAGGACAACCCTGAAATACAAGTGACCTCCACATTGAGTAACTGAGATAAAGCAGTTTGTTGCAGGATATATGTCTATTATATCTATCTCTATATATGCAAATATATATATGCAAATTATTTGAGAGACCATGACCTAGCTACTCTCATATCCTCAGAGTGCCTGACATAAAAGAAACTATTGTCTGAATTGACCACACATAAACAGCGGACTAGACATAACAAAAAATTCTCAAGCAAACAAGACAAGTTTTAGAAGTGATATTTGAAAATTATAATAACCCTTGTACTTAGAGAAGGCTTTAGGATTAAAAAGCACTTCCACCTTAATCCTGTGTGGTAGGCGGGACAGATGATTCTCATTCTGTAGATAGGAAACTAAAGTCTCGAGGCACACTAGTAATGGAGTTAGAACTCAAACTGAGGGCAAAGCCCTTTTCCCACATACTTGATAGGCTGAAATAATACCAAGAAGACCTGTGCTATTTGGAAAGAGCAATAGGAAAATTGGCCTTGTAAGGCTTTGGTTTTTATATTAAGTGAAATGGAGAGTGTAGACATCAGTGCAGAGGAGTGACAGAATCTGACTTACATATTAAAATACGGCTGCTGTATTGAGAACACACTCTGGGGGGCAAGGGTTGAAACAGGGAGCCCATTTAGGAGCTACTCCCATAATCCAGGTGAGGTATGATGGTGGCTTGGGCCTGGGTGGCAGTGGAGATGAAGATAGAGCCAACAGGTTTTACTGATAGAGTGAATGTAGGGTGTGTCAAAAAGTGAGGCATCAAAGATGACTACAAGGTTTTTGTCTTGAGCAACTATAATAATGTACAGCTGTAGTCGCCTTTAGCTGAGATAGGGAATTCTGTGGGTAGAGCTGGTTTGTGGGAGATCAGGAATTCGATTTTGAGCCTGTTGAGACATCTATTAAAGATGCAAGTGGCAGTGCTGAGTAGGCAGTAGATAAATGGAACTGGGGTTTGGGAGAGAAGGCTTGTTTAGAGATATAAATCTGAGAATTGTCCTCATGCACATGCTCATAGGCTGAATGTTTTTTTCTGAGTTCACCAAATAAGTGAGTATAGACAGAGAAGAGGACCGGGTGTATATCAACAGTAAGGGAGAGGAGGAGGAACCAGCGAGGCTGGAGAAAAGCCAGAGGATGTGGAATCCTGAAACCACACAAAGAAGTATGTCAAGGAGAACTGTCCAATTCAGATAAGAATTGACCACCGGCTTTAACAACTGGACATCATTATATTGTTACCCTCCTTGTATTTAAATAAATGTAGATTTGCATCATCATTTTAATGGCTGCAGAGTTTCCTATCACGTGAAATTTATTGAACCAATTATTTCATTATGGACTTTTGGGTAATTTCCAATTTTTCATTATTATAAACAGTGTTACAATGAACACAGTTTATTCATCATATGTGATTTTGTACATTTCTGTGATTATTTCATAAGAAGAAATTTTAGAATTAGAATTCCTGGGTCAGAGAATATTCAAATTACTGCAAGAAAGGCTGTACCAAAACATACACTATTAAGCATGAATATTTTCCCAGTTTTCTCCAACATTATCAACTCACGAAAAAGTTCAAGTCTGTAGATATTAAAGGACACTCATTTTAGTTTTAGTCTGCACTTTTTCCACTGTATAAAAATTTTTTTAAAATGGATCTGGCACCATAGGCTTTCTAGGATTCTTGACTTTTATAACCTCAAAGTTCTGTTTCCACTTCAAATAATGTGCCTCCTTCAGACTACACGAGAATAACTTTTTTTAAAAAAAGATTTAAGAGATGTTTGCACATAGACATTGGCTGCTAATTGAGACCCAAAGCACAATTTTACTGCATCAAATGTGAATGACAGTACAAATGATGACAGTAAGTCAATTATTATAATACCTTTGATTTGGGCCAGATTTAAGAAGCTGAAAATTGAGCAGAAAGAGTTTTTCTGTAACTTTGCTTTTAAATTAGAGCAAGAGATAAGCCAATGTGTCCACCAAACTATCAGGTAAGGGCTTGTTTGTAGAAAAAGTATTTAAATAAGTCTAAAATAGGCAATATATTATTTTCCCTGGCAGTATTTTAATTATAAGAAATTTATATTAAATGCAGAGTAAAAATAATATGAAGTACTCTGGATGTTCTTTTGAGGACTAAAGTTTGAGAGAAAACTAGTTTAATTTTATGTTGATGTATTTAATGAAAATTATTTAATATTTGCTTATTCATCAAAAAAAGTGGGACAGTAGGAAAACCACAAAAAATTATTTCTGTTCTTTCCGTTCCTCATATCTATCACTTTAAATGATTCTGAGTCCTAATTGTGTGGACAATGGTTTCTCTTGAGTGATGGTTATATCTGCAAAGTTTGGATAATTTTCTAGGACTTGAACTGTTCAGCTTATAGCTGTGAAATTTAGTGCATGTTTGATTCTGTCTCTATTTAGAATTGATTTCACATTGAAATAAGTCTCTCTATTTCTATTTTAAAATAGGCCAGATGGAAAATGGAGTGAAACTGCATTTTTTAAGTGAAAAAAATGGTTGTAGTCTAGGCCACAATATTTATCTTTGGGAATGTTTCCTAATAAAAAGAGGCTAAAATTGACGCAATGTTTTTGTGGTGCTTTTAAATATATTATCTGTGTTTGCCATTGGGGCAAAGTGAAAATAATTATTGAAGAACAACTGCCTCTTTAACACAATTTGAAAAATGCGAAGTAAAAGAAAGCACCTAGAAACAAAGTTAGCATAAGATCAGCATTAAAAAAATGAATTATTTACTGTAGAATAATCTTCCTCCCCACCAATAATAAAAACCCAAAGCTTTATTGAAGAACAATAAAATATTCATATAAATTGAAGTCCATACCTTGTTCTTCAACAAGATGACTCAATATTATAAAGGTGTCAGTTCTTTTCTTCATCTATAAATCCGCTATAATTCCAATTTTATAAAACTAGTAAGAACTTGAGAGAACGTGAGTAAACAATTCTAAAGTCCATGTGGAAGAATTAATGTTTATGAATAACCAAGATTATTTTGAAAAAGAATACTAATTTGAAGAAGTGGTATGGCAAAAAGTAGTCTTAAAATGCACAGCCACAATAATTACATGGTATCACACTGGCATGCAAGTAAACAGACTTTCAATATGGCATAACAGAGAGACTAGCGAGAAGCCAGAACAGATAGTGATTCAGTGTATCTTAAAGGTGGACTGCAGATAAGAGAGGCGAAGAGTCCTACTACGTATCGTAAGGTTCCAGATCATCTGGTTAGTTGAGAAAAAGAGTCAGGACCCCGACCTCACTTCTTACACTAAAATACACTGCAGATGTTAATTGTAAAAAGTAAAACCAAACAAGCACCAGGAGAAGACACAAGTAAATGTTTAATCTTAGGCTGAGGAAGCTATTCTAAGCATACAGAAAAAGGCAGGTGGGGAAAAAAAAGAAAAAAACAGATTGATTTGATTAATAAGAATTGAAAAATTTCCCCCAAATTCTCCAAAGATGACTAAAAGCCAACAGGCAAACAAAATTTGCAACACATATGACAAAGGAATAAGCATCCTACACATATTTAAAATACTTATAAATCATTAAAAGAAAGTTAAACAACAACCCCATTAAAAAGTGGGCAAAAGACAATGGAAAAGACATTTTTGAAAAGAAGACACACAAGCAGCCAACAAACATAAAAAAATGCTGAACATCATTAATTATCAGATAAATGCAAATTAAAACCACACAAGATACCATTTCACACCAATCAGAATGACTATTATTAAAAAGTCAAAAAACAACAGCTGTTGGTGAGGATGTGGAGAAAAGGGAATGCATATACACTGTTGGTGATAACAGAAATTAGTATAACCTCTATAGGAGACAGTATGGACACTTCTCAAAGAGCTAAATATAGAACTATCATTCAATACAACAATCCCACAACTGGGTATCTACCTAAGTTGTCCTAAAAATGACACCTGCACTTGTATGTTTATCACAGCACTATTCACAATAGCACAGTGTTGGAATCAACCTAAATGTCCTGAGCAGACAATTACATAAAGAAAACACACACACACACACACACACACACACACACACACACACACACACACCAGAGAAAACTACTCAGCCATAAATAAGAATGAAATCATGTATTTTGTAGCAACATGCATGGAGTTGGAAGCCATTATCCTAAATGAAATAACAGAAAGTTAAATACTGCGTGTTCTCACTTATAAGTGGGAGCAAAACAGTACATACACATGGATGTACAGAGTGGAATAACTGACGTTGGAGACTCCAAAAGGTGGGTGGGTAGAGGTGGAGTGAAGGATGAGAAATCACCTAATGGGTACAATGTACACTATTTGGGTGACAGTTACACTAAAAGCCCAGACTTCACCCCTACACAATGTATCCAGGTAACAAAACTGTACCTGTACTCCTTAATTGTATAAAAATAATAAAAAAAGAAAGTTAAACCTTCCATCGTAATGGGCAAAGGATACAAATAAACTAGGCAATTTATGAAAAAAATTATACATGGCTAATAAACATATTTTTAATTCTAAAAAATGTGAATTAAAATGGTGAAATTCCATGTGAAATCTAACAAATTGGTGAAGATTAAATAAACTCAGTCAAGATAGAAGGAATAAGCCCTCTAAAATATTGCCAGTGATATAATAAGAGATCAAAGGAGACAATAAAGAAGGTGAACAAGAAGGTATCTACAAACATACCCATTTTTTTATATCAGCAAAAATATCTGCCAAACAATGAGGGATTAAAGGAATTATGGCATACACATACAATAAAATATAATGTAGCCATTAACATATTGTAGAAGAATACTCGATGACATGGAAAATGTGTGTAACATTGTTTAAATAATAAAAAACATGTAGGCCTGCAAAATTCTAATTTTGTTTTAAAAAGGGAATACAATATATTAATATCTATGTATAGAAAAAAGTGGAATGACATATACCAAATGTTAAAACTGTTATCACAAGGTGATGGTATTACAGATGAATTTAATTTTCTTACTGGTTTTCTGTATTTGCCAAATTTGTACATAAAAATGTGCTGTAATCAAAAACCTCTACCTTCTATAATTATTACACATTTAAAAAGTTATAAAGAAACTCATGACTTTAAAGAGAATTCTTAAGTTCTTACGGAACTGAAAAGATATAACATACATTCCAGCTTACAAAAGGAAGTATTTGTCTTTTATGTATGCCGCAGTAGGCAATCAATGGGTTAATTAGCAGGGTACCAATTTTTAAATTCTCCTCTGCTAAACAAAACAAATTACCATTAGAAGCTAATTGAATTATCAATGGTTTGAAAATCTTCTTACTGGCAAATCAAGTAGTAACAAAGGCAATAAATACAGCAATAAAAGTTGTTAGAAGGTATTGATAGATTTTGAGGGATGGATTTTTTGAGCTACTTAGACAGAGACAGCAGAATGTCTCTACAACTGAGGCTTATGTTGGTCTTGGAAGCCGAAGTCTGGATTGGTAGGAATGAGCGAAGTGGCCTCTGCCTTTGCCGGGAGTTAAGTGCTCACTAAGCGCCCATCTGCAAGTGAGCCAGTTTCCAAAAGGGACCATTTAACACAAAGAAAACAACAGGCTGCAGCGCAGTGCCCTTCCCGAAAGGGCATAACGCACTGATCTTAACTATATCGGGGCCACCTGCTGCATCCCACTATACAGTCCTCACCAAAATTGCATTATGGCAAATATAGTTCTAGAATCATAAAACTGTGGACTTCCTACAAAGGCCTAGAGTTGGGAGAGTAGTCAGGGTGTTCCACAGCCGGTGGGGAAATGAGTGTCTGCAGGGAGCAAGGGAAACAGTGAAAGGAGACGAGATTATATTACTTGTTCCTTGTGAGATAAGAAGCCATTGGACAGTAGTGAGCAGAGAAGCAACATGATCTAGAAGGTTCTAGAGGGACCACTGTGTTGAGAAAACACAACAGGGGACGTGGACAGTTACAGCGCAGCCCTTGAAAGTTCTAAATAACACTTTATTGAATGGACTTATTTAGGATCGCACAGCTGAAACGAGCCCAGCTTCCTAGCCCAGTATTCTCTCTGCTTCACCACAGATTAGTTTAAAATTTGCATCTTCTTGCCAAAGATCAGGGATCTTCGACACCTGGAGTCATTTTAGACCTGAAAACAGAAGTTTCCACATTTAAATTTTACACCAGCAGTCACTGGCATACCCCTTCAATAATTTTTATTATATCCTTGTATTACTGGAATTAATTTGATTTTAAAAACTTAAATGGAAGCTGGAGGGTTTGACCTGGTCTAGTCCTAATTCAGTTAAGGACTAGTATTTAATTGGCTCACGTCTGTAATCCCAGTGCTTTGAGAGGCCAAGGCAGGAGGATCACTTAAAGCCAGGAGTTTGAGACCAGCCTGGGCAGCACAGCGAGACACGGTATCTACAAAAAATTTTTAAAAATTAGCTGGGTGTGGTGACACGGGCCTGTAGTCCCAGCTACTCGGAATGCTGAGCCAGGAGGATTGCTTGAGCCTAGGAATTCAAGGATGCAATGAGCTGTAACTGCACCACTGCAGTTTTTTCTACTGCACGTGACAGTAATAAAAAGCTATTAAAATAAAAAATATTCATGTACCACCTAAAGTCATTTCGCATACTACTGGTGGTACATATCCTATATTCTGGGACACACTGTTTTAGATGAAGAAGAACCTAGGATGACCCATGTGCTCAGGGCTAGCGGGGCTGGGTCCCAGCGACTGCTGCAGTGGAAATGCATCAGAGAGACACACTTTGGCGGACTGACCTAAAGCACTGTAGCCGAAGTCCTCGGGCAAACCGGCCAGCTTGGTACTCTTTTCCATCCATTACTGAAGGAACAGTCTCTGTATCTTGCACAATGACAGCCATTTCACTGTCACGCTTTCCCAGCATGCTGCGGTCATTTATGTTGGCAGAGCCTGTAAGGAGAAACAGTGAGGCTGAACAACCTTCCTGTTGTGGCAGACACTGTTGGTTGCCCTCCCAACTCAATTCATCCTTGCAAACAAAACCGTAATTTTGTCCAGGTTTTCAAGGGAAGATGTGTTTTTAGGGAGGTGGGGCCCTCCCTAACCCAGGGGTGAATCTTAATCAGTCTAAGCCAGCCATGGTAATTTCATTATTTTTATTAGTGACTGGCTTAGAAATGGGCTCTTGACATGGTGCTAGCCAATGTGACATGAAGGAAAGCTTCTGAGAAAGAGTTTCCCCTTTGTATAAACACACAAAAAATGGATTCTGTCTCTTCCATCCTTTGGATATCTTGGCTTGAAGGGTTGGAAGAAGACATGATTCCAGGAGCTGCTGCAGCCATTTCACAACCACTAGAGAACAAACAAAAAAGCTTAAAGAAAATGCTAAGTAGAAAAAAGAGCCAGGCATGGTGGCTCATGTCTGTAATCCCAGTGCTTTGAGAGGCCAAGGCAGGAGGATCGCTTAAAGCCAGGAGTTTGAGACCAGCCTGGACAACATAGCGAGACCTGGTCTCTACAAAAAGTTTTTAAAAATTAGCTGAGTGTGGTGACGCATGCCTGTAGTCCCAGCTGCTCGGAATGCTGAGGCAGGAGGATCGCCTGAGCCTAGGATTTCAAATTTGCAGTGGGCTGTAACTGCACCACTGCACTTCAGCCTGGGCCAAAGAGCAAGACTTCATCTCTAAACAAAACATAAAAATAACAATTAAAAAAGAAGAAAGATTCTGGGTCTTTAAGTCATTGAATTAGCCAACCTTTGAATATTCTTACCTTCTGTCATGTGAAATAATATATTTTCCTTATTTTCTACATTGTTCCTTATTGTTTCACACACACTTCTAGTTGAGTTTTCTACCTTGTGGCACAAAAGATTCTAACTGTTACAATCATCAAGCACTTGAAAAAAGGCATGCCTACCAGTTCAGTAGGAAAGATGGCTTTGCTTTTGGAGTTAAGAATCAGGCTCTCTGTAGGCTTTAACTCAAAGTCACATAACTGTGAATGTCAAAACTCAAGAGTACCTTCATAATTAATAGAGTATAATCTCAAATACAGATTGTCATTTGTGGCTTTGGGCTTTCTGCTTTCTTGCCTCCCTCACTTGTGTAGCATGCCAATAGCTTCTGTAGCAACTTTCCTCCATTCTATTTTTTAAAATTATTAATTCTCTTTATTAGCTCAATACCTGGTTCATTCAAGGAGTCCATTTTTTTTTTTAAATCCAAGTGAGCTGAGAATGTTGACTTTTACATGTGAAGGGCAAATATTTTGCTATTAGTTCAACCTGTGCTTTCTGCAGTCCTCTGCTGTGTATTCAGGAACCTCATCACGTTTTTTTGCATTAATCTCTGCAGATTCATGCATTTGAATCCTTGAGGTGTCCTGCAAACTACAGAAAGGGCCTGACTGACTCTTCTTGTTCCTCTTGCTCTAGCTGCAACAACTCCACTGCTTCTTCAGACGTGGAGCAGAAGGGTCAGGTTGAACAGGCACCCTGGCGGCCCTCTGACTGGAGCAGCCAGAGCTATAAGGTGACAGCAGCCCTACCAGAGCTCAAATGGTGAGATGAATGAGAAAAGCTGCCCTTTCCTGAAGAGACTTTACTGCCTGTTGCCAGAATATTGTCATGTGGTTAATATATAAATCTATGATGACTATGGATGTGAGTGTTTCCCCATGGTGGCCCTGGGTAACAGAGAAAGGATCGAGCACCCTACAGAAATGTGAGAATGCTACTGGAGTGCTGCTGAAAAGTGGGAACCTTTGAAACACTTTGTTTTGTTAGCACCAAATCATCCTTTATACATAGACTTACATCGTGGTTATGCTATAAAATTTGCAGCTATATCTTTGAGCTTGACAGTTGCCCCAACATTAATTTGGGCAATTCACTTAATCTTTCTCAGCTTTAATATAATCTTTCATAAATTGAGATAATAATATAGACCTTGTAGGGATATTGTGGGAATTAAGTAAGACCATGTGAAAGCACTTAATGATTTACAAGCTGCTCTACAAATGTTAATTATTACTGGCATTATTATCAGATCCTTGTTAACTCTACAATAACTGCACCGGAGAATGCTGCCATAGGAACCGACCATTTGATGGAATGTAGCATTTGTTTAAAGAAGCCTCCTCTCTGGCTTAATCGCCCCATGTGTGAACTGTAGGAGCTCAAAGATTGAAGATCCCATATTGCTACTTTAGGACTTTTACTGTGCCCCTGGAGCCAGCAGAGGCCGCTGTCAGGCGGGGGCTGCTGGATTGAACTGACATCACTGCTTTGTTTCGGGTCAGGAGAACCTGGGATGTGAGCCAGCCTGGAAAGCCCCCTCCGCACACACATTCTCCCACGCGCCCCCATTCCTCTCCCACCACAGTGGGCCCCGACACTCCCGAGGTGAGGAATACATTTCCAGCATTCTGAGCTGGAATTATTAGACAGAGGGTGTCGTTCTTGTATTTTAAGGGCCAACATGGAATTACCCAGATAACTGACTCTCCACCACATTAAATAAGTGTGTTGGCTGCTATTTAATAGGCATGTGAGGAAAGAAATGAGAAAATTTTAGATGAATGAATAAATTAGATATAATAAGATATGATGGATGTAAATGCTCCCTCCATTTGTTCCTGTATTCTGAAAATCAAATTCAGAAGAACAGTTGTAGTATTACCCTATTTTTATACAACATATGAGGAAGAAGACAGAACAAGAGATCTAGAAAGATACACACTGAACTGTTAACAATAGTAGGTGCTTTTCAGTGAAGAGAGAGAAGAAAATAAGGGGAATTTTGGTCTTTTACTCTATAAGCATCCTTCTTGTTTATATGACCTGTTCTGAGTGCTATTAGAAAACATTCTAAAAATTGTGAATATGGCAAAATACAAAAGGCTATATGAAAATATGTGTGTAAAACTTAAGCAATAATAAAATAGTCATCACTGAATTTATTACCCTGGCCAAAAACAATATTACCACATCCCAGAAGGCTTTGTGCACCTTCCCATGCATACCCTTCCCTCCCCAAGAGGAAGACTTGATGTTTAACTTTGTGTTCATCATGCTCTGAATGTTTTCCTAAACAACAAAAAAAGAGTTTACTTCTGACTTGTTTTTAATTTATATAAGTGGAATCATATATCAGATAGTCCTTTGAGATTTGCTTCTTTCATTCAGTCTTATGTCTTTGAGATTTTTCTGTACATAATTGTAATGCATTTCTTTTCCTTGAATGAACACACTAGGGATTTCTTTATTTATTCTGCTATTGATGGATGTTTGGGTTGCTTCCAGAGTTTTGCTGTGATGCACAATTCTGCTCTACATAGCTGAGTATTTGTTTCTTGGTATAGACATGTGTGAGTTTCTTAGGCTCTGTATGTAGGCGTGGGTTGCTAAGCTGCAGGGTGTATGACTTTACTAGGTAACACCAGAATGTTTTCCAACTTACACTCCCAACAGCAGTGGAGGGGAGTCTGTATTGCTCCACAGCCATGCCAATACTTAGATTGCCCAACTTTTAACTGTTTGCCAGTCTGGTATTTTTAAAAACTCTTATTTGTCTCATGTTAATGAGAAGCAACATTTTTTCACATGCTTATGAGGCTTGGGTATGTTCTTTTTGATGAAGTTCCTATACAATTTCTTTGCCCATTTTTCTTTGGACATTTGTTTTTTCTTATTGATTTATAGGAGTTCTTTATGTGTTCTGTGTATTAAATGGGTTGCAAATATTTCAGTTTGTGGTTTATCTTTTTATTCTCTTTACAGTACCTTTTAATGAAGAAATTTCTGAATTTTAATGCAGTTGGATTTATCTTTCCTTTGTGGTTTGTGCTTATTTTGTGTGTCTCACTTAGAAATTGTGAATCCTTGTGTGGTATGCAGAATAGCAGCTCTCCAAAATGTCCGTGTTCAAATCTCCGAAAACTGTGAATATATGTTCAATGGCAAAGGCGAACTAAGGCTGTATATGGAATTAAGGTTGCTAATCAGCTAACTTTAAAAATAGAGTGAGTAGCCTGGATTATACAGGTGGACCCAATACAATCATAAGATCTGTAAAAGTGAAAGGGAGTCAGACTGAGTTATGATTACAGAAGAATGGGTTGAGACTTTTGGGGATTTTCAGAGATAGAATGTTGCTGACTTTAAAGGTGGAAGAAGGGGCTGTGAGCCAAGGAATGCAGGCAGCCTCTAGAAACAAGGAAATGGACTCTCCCTAACGGCCTCTAAAAGAATGCAACAGCCCTGCTCACACTCTGATTTTAGTCCTGTGGGACTCACGCTGAATTTCTAACCTACTGAAGTGTCAGATAATAAATTTGTGTTGTTTTAAGCTACTAAGTTTGTGGTCATTTGTTACAGCAGTAATGGGAAACGAACGCACGAACTCTACCCCGTTTTAGTTTGTTTTGAAGGAAAACTGGTTCTTCTATTGAGCACACTGGGCTACTCTGTCTTTTCTGCCTACTTGTATTTCCTTTGCCTCCAGGTCAGAAGTTCTCAGCTCTGACCACATATGAGCATTACCTAGGAAAGCTAACAAGGAAGCTTTTTAAAAAATACTGATGCCAAAAACAAAACCAAAAAAACCCAAATGCCTGGCCCCAAACCAGACCAACTAGATCATAATTTCTAGAAATAAGAACCAGGCATTGGTATACCACTCCATCCCTGTATCCATTGTTAATTTATATTTTTGTTTTGATCCATTTAAAAGCAAATTGCAGACATGAGGAAATATCCCCCTCTTTACTGGGGCAGCCCTTCAACTCCAGCCTCTCATCTGCCACAGTGAAGCCTGCTCTTTAAATCCTGAGACTCATGAGCTCGACTTAGTTTCTCCTCCTACCCACACTTGTTGATTGCCCCTGAACCTTCTTGTTCTGGTTTGGCAACATCCATCCTAGTGTTTCTGCTCTCATATGGAAGGAGTAGCTGCCTCTCCTCCAGCCAGTGATCTCTGGGAGGGCAGTGGCGCTGTTTTACTCACGTTTCGCATCTCTCTATTGTGCTTTGCAGTGGGTTAGTGAACATTAAAAACAACCGTTTCACTTAGTCATCAGGATAGGCTTAAAATCTACTTGAAGGGGAGCTTGGCTTTGTTTTGGAAACCAAATATATGTGTGTCTGGTTAAAGGCTAAAATTAAGATAGGTAAGAAAACTGGATTTGGTCACAGATTTCATGACCAGCAGGGTTACCCAGGGCCACAGGCAATTAAAGCTATGCACAAAAGAGATCTTCAGTGTGAGAAAACAAATATTTCCTCATGAGGAGTAAAATGAAGATAAATGGTCATTTTTCTTATGTCAGCTATTCAATCATTCTGGCATAAGTTTGCCATGGAAGAAAAATTAATCATACATTACTTAAACCTCCTTTAAATGTTTAAATACTTCCTTAACACCTATAAAATATTCTCAACCTAACTTCTCAAACTCGTCTCTGAGAATTTTAAACACTGTTTTCTGTGTTAGGAACTTAAATAGGGTGAATGTGTTAGAACAGTAACAATAAACCTGCTTATTCTTGAGTTTCCACCGAGATAAAAAGAACAAAAGAAACTCTGGATTTTTTCCTTGGGAGAAATCGATTCTCTAAGGCACTTGGGGAAGGAAAAAAGGAATCCAGCCTCCAAGGACTAGCAAGTAAGACCTCTTTAGACTCCCAGGGCCATATCCTCAGTTTCAAGAGAATGTGTAAGAATTGTGTGCAAAATTGATCAAGTATTGCTAAACAAAATAAATTGGAGTCTTTGAGTGTTTAGAGACTTTTCCAGAAAATAAGTCAATTAAAAACCTCAACAAATTTATTTAACTGTTAGCTCTGTTACCAAAAACTAATTTGTATTTATACTTCATGTAAAGTAAACGAGGCTGAAAGTCAAAATGACCTTTCAAAAAAATATTTACATCTGTCAGTTTTTACTTCAAGGCTTCTGAAATCTTGGTGAAGAAATATGTGGCTTTGTTTATTTTTCCATTTCAGCAAACATCAATAGTTTTTATTTCTTACTGTCATTGTCAAATTTAATTCCAAAGTATTCTGAGATTTGCTTTTGAAGAGCAAGTCAGAGTAGCTCAGGAGAAATAAATGAAATCTTGAGTATTAGGGCAAATGGGGGAATAAATAAACTCCTAAAGAGCTTTTATCCCTATAGGCCAGGAGATAAAAGAACAGTATTTTTTAAATGTGCTATACAAATATTAAAAGTGTGTATGTGTGTGTGTGTGTGTGTGTGTGTGTGTGTGTGTGTATCTCACCATACTGTGGTTTACACAGTTTCTGGCTATAGACGAGGAGATAAAGGAACAATATTATTTTAATGTGCTATACAAATATTAAAAGTGTGTGTGCGTGTGTGTGTGTGTGTGTGTATGTATCTCACCACACTGTGGTTTACACAGTTTCTGGCTTCAGAACTATGTTTCTTTTCTATTCAAATCATGTTCCAGATAAGACAGTTTTATTCTTCTCAGATATGAGATATGTTTTCTTTTCTCAGTGGAGAATAGAAAGCATATTTATTGTCCAAAATTTTCAAAACACTCCATGACATTTAGTTTCTTGAATAATAGGAAAGTATCTTATTATAGCTGATAAACTACATTTCATTTGAAACAGATGAGCAGAATTCCCATTAGTAGGACACATCATCTCTCTAAATAACATGACCCACACTGGTTACCTCATTTACCTGGTTGATTATTTATACTCTATCATCCTGGACTTCCAATACTCATTTTATATAATATTAATATTAGAAGTCAAAATAATTCAATGATGGAAGAATGAAGCTTTCTATGTATATAAAAGAATGAAGCTGAACATCTACCTCTCTTGTCAAGCTAATCTAATTTGGGTAGAATGTACAAGTTATTTAGGAGAGTAACTCTCCTGAATTTGTCAGTGGGAAGAGGCCTTTGGAAAAGTCTCCTGTGTATCCTTGACAAGAAATGACTGCAGACCTTAGTGCAGGGCTACATCCTATCATTAGTACACAATTCCCACTTCATCCATACACATCAACAAAGTTGGACTGCTCTACATCCTAATTAATGACATGGAAAACATGCATGTTAGGAAAAATAGTGGTAATGCATAGAGGCAGCAATATTTTACCATCCTTCTGATTTCGACTTTTGTACAACTTCAGATCTGTGGTAATGGTTAGGTGGATGTGGTATAAACACATACGAATTACCACAAGGTACTCACTTATGACACACTTTCCCTCCCCATTTATCCCCCACCAATCCCTGAAATCTGGGCACTTGGATTGTAAATAAAAATAAGGGGATAGCTGGGTGTGGTGGCTCGGGCCTGTAATCCCAGCACACGGGAGACTGAGGTAGAAGAATCATTTGAGACCAGCCTGGGAAACACAGCGAGACCCCCATCTCAAAAATAGTTTTAAAAATTAAAAAAAAAAGGGAGTAATAAAGAATTAGTGAAATCTGGCACATTATTGGACTGCTGGGTTAAACAGCTGCCTCTGGATTCTGCAATTTTCACGAAGTCCATTTAATTGCTCTGTACCTCTGATTCTTCACAGATAAAAATAGTTTAGTTCACAAAGAGATGATAAATGCTTGAAGTGATAGGTACTGCAATTGCCCTGATGTGATTGTTATACATTGTATGACTGTATCAAAACATCGTATGTACCCCATGAATATATACACCTATTCTGTACCTATAACAATTTCAACAACTGGGTTAGAAAGGATGTAAGAGAAGAGGATGGCTTCAGAAATGTTTTAGTTATGGTGTTACTGTCTGTTTCAAATGCAAAGGATGCTTAGGAGGAATAGCAGCAAACATTTTTGCATGGGGTAAGTCAACTGGCAAGGAATACAATTATAGACCATATACTGTACTTACCAATAATAACAGTGTTATCATCAGCAATTAACAACTTGCTGTGGACATAGATAAGCTCAGTTACTAGGTTTCCTTCGAGCTCTGCATGTGTTCTAAGACCACAGAATGATATGTAATTTATCCACTGATTACCAACTGCAAATTTAAAAAGAAATTATTAAAATTAATATGACCAAGCTCAATAAACGTACATTAAATCTTATTGTTTCTCAAAACATACTACTTAGACTGTTCAGAATAGATTGTATATTATATGTATATGTTTTCTATTTCAGAATTCATCCAGGATTTATTTTTGATATCTGAATTTCATATTGTCAGTCTGAATGGCTTTCTCTCTCTCTCTCTCTCTCTCTCTATATATATATATATATATATATATATTATATATATTTTTTTTTTAATTGAAGTGTTTTCTGTCTTCCCTTTGCTAAGGCAATCCAAAAAGCTATTCATATATGAACATTTTATTTTAATGATTTGATGAGTTAACTACTGAAGAGTGATGGTTAAAACTGAGCTGGAATAGATTAACCAAGACTTCAGTGTGACATTTGCTTCTATCCTGCTTGACACTTGCTGCAGTTTGAATCAGATGCAAGGTGTGTGCCAAACCACCTGATGCTACATCATTTGTAGCATATTCAGCGTGAAGCATCAGTTAAATTCTGCAGACTTTGGGTAAATAAAAATGTTGGCAATGAAAAACCACTCCTCCCTTTAGATCATTAAAATTAGGAAACAGAAGAATCCTTACTACATTAGACTTAGAATTTTCTTCAGAGCAAGCAGCACCAGGTTTGTACTTCAAAATATTGCCATCCCTCTAATCACATGGGGGCCATTCACATGATAAGAAGAAATACATTCCATACTAAGCCAAGTCATAATCATGACCCCTGTTGTGAGTGTTAGTCACAGGATTTTTATGGTCTTTCTCCCACACAGCAGTTGTCTTGGATAAGCAAGTCTGATACCAAGAATAAATGGAGTGGAACCAAACTATCACAAATTCTCATAGAAAGAGAGCATACATTTTTTTTTGTCTTTAAGAGAATTTGAAGCATACTAATAGAAGGGTGGCAGTTCATCTCCCATTTACTGAAGTTTCCATTTATTACTGATGGTTTCTATTTTGCTACTGATGTTATTCAGTGTTTCTATTAAGTTTGGGTATCTTGGAAAGAAATTCATTCATAGGTTATGTATAGAGATGCCTCCATTTAGAGATAGCTCTCCCCTCATATATATATGAGTGATGTTGTATAGCTGTGTTTGATGAGAGTTGAAATGTTGGTATACTAGTACACCATGTGTAAGAGATGCATTTCTAAAACGTTTCATGTAAATGAGGTTTTTGCAATTTATTCCCCCATTTGTTAATGTTATATTGGAAAGACACTTCATCTGAAGAATCACCTCCTTTTTTAAGTCTTTTCTGATCCATTTCCTTTTTTAAGCCCCTCAGACCTATAAAATTCCTGGAAAACATTTCTAAATAATGCCTAGTATCTTACAAACATTTATATAATCTTCAAGTTATTCTACTGTTGTACAGGAACTGGGTCTTACACATTTTTGTTTCTCATCCTTTCACAGTGCTAAAAAAAGCTAAATAAATGTATGAGTGGATAAATGAATATTCAGGTATCAGCTGAAACTAAAAAATATTTTACCTTTTAATTTCTCTGTATCATCTACTCTCCTACAGCTGGATCATGATCTAGAATTTATAAGTTTAAGATACAAAGCAGCTTTTCAAAGGAATCATGGAGCAGGACCTTTGCTAAAGTAAATATTTTTTTACAGTAATTTCCATTAAAATTCACATTGAACAATATAGTAGACCAGTGGTTCTCAGCATGCACAAAGACCACCTCTATGGAATTTGTTAAAAGCAGATTCCTGTGACTCTTCACAGAATTCTGATTCAGCGGAAATCAATTCAGTAAGTCCCCGAGGGGATATTGTTTCTGAATGACACTGCCATAGAGCTTTGATAATTATTTAAGATTAGTATACACTAAGAAAATAATACACCATGACCAAGTGAGATGCATTCCAGGATGCAAGTCTGCTCATATGAGGAAATCCATTATTAGACATTATATTGATCAATCTAGGGAGAAAAATAATATAATTATTTTAACAGATGCTGGAAAGCTTTTGACACAATTCAGTATCCACTCCTGATAAAAGCAATGAAGAAAGTAGGAAATGATGAATACTTTCTTAACATGCTGAAAATATATATAATATATGTATTATATATTTATATGCATATGTGGGTATAATATTTTCAATACTATTTAATATTGCCTTGGAAGTATCAGCCAATATAGTTGTATAAGAGAAATCATATAAAAAGTAAAGTCATCTTCACTTGCAGATACTGTGAAAACATACCTGAAGAATCAGTAATAAAATTATATCAAATAATAAAAATATTAAATATAATAACAGGATATAAATTAACATATAGAAATCAATAGCCTTTATATACACAAAACAATAACCACTTAGAGAATATAATCACAGACAAAGCCTCATTTAGAATGACAACAAAGAAAATAAAAGAGATAAACTTAATGGTTCACGTGCAAAACTTTTATAAAGAAAAAGTTAAAAAACTATCAAGACACAAGAGTAGACTTGAACAAATGGAAAGATTGCTCTTGTTCTGGGATAGAACAATTCACCATTAGAAATATGTCAACTCTTCCCAGGTTAATTTATAAATTTAATGTGATCTCATTACATTACATGAGATCGCATTAATGTAATGTAATATAAGGTAATGTAATGGTAAAAATGCCAACAAGTTCTCATGGAGTTAGATAACCTGTAGTTTGTATGGAAAAATAAACATGCAAGAATAAATTGAGAAAAATGGAAGAGAAAAGCTATGAGTCATTAGCCCTATCAGACTTTTTTTTTTTTTTTTTTTGAGATGGAGTCTCGCTCTGTCACCCAGGCTGGAGTGCAGTGGCGTGATCTCGACTCACTGCAAGCTCCGCCTCCCGGGTTCACGCCATTCTCCTGCTTCAGCCTCCCAAGTAGCTGGGACTACAGGCGCCCACCACCACGCCTTGCTAATTTTTTTTTTTTTTGCATTTTTAATAGAGACAGGGTTTCACCATGTTAGCCAGGATGGTCTCGACCTCCTGACCTCGTGATCCGCCCACCTCGGCCTCCCAAAGTGCTGGGATTACAGGCATGAGCCACCGTGCCAGGCCAGCCCTATCAGATATTAACACATACTATAAAGTCTGTATAATTAAAACAGTGCAGATCTAGCAGATAAATAGACAGATACACCAGTGAATGGGATAGAAAGTCCAAAAAGAGATGCAAATACATAAGGAAAATTTGTATATGATAAAGGAAACAGCTCAAATGATAAGGACAAGGCCTTTTCAATAAAAAGGTGCTAGTACAGTTCCATAGCCACCTGAAAAAGATAAAACTCCAAATTTTTTTTAACAAGAATAAACTCCAAATGGATCAGAGATAAAAATGTAAGCAAATGAAACCAGACAAGTGTTAGAAGAAAGCAAGGGTGAATTCCTCTATACTTCAAATGTAAGAAAGATTTTGTAAGTATCCAGAGGCAAAAAAAAAAAAAAAAAGATTTGTAAATTGGTTAGATTAAAAAAATAACAACACGTTTGCATGACACAAAACACGACAAGCAAAAAACAAAAGGCAGAAGACAAACTGGGAGAAAGTATTTTCAGTACATGTCACAGATAAAGAGGTGATAATCCTAACATATAAAGAACTCTAAATAATTGAAGGGAAAAGAAAATCAAAATCTTAATAGAAAAATGGGCAAAACACATGAATAGACAATTCACACACACAAAAGATACATTTGAAAAGATATCCATCTTGACTCATAATTATAGGAATGCAAATAAAAATGACGTTGAGAAACCATTTGTTATCTATAAGATTGGCAAAAAATAAAAAGTACGACAACATATTCTGTTAGTGAGAATGGGTTGAAGACAGACTCTCTCATATATTGGTGATGAAAATGCAAATTCATACAAATTTTTTGAAGGGTCATTTAGCAATATCTAACAAAGCTACCTATGTGTTTACCTCCTGACTCAGCAATCCCACTCTAGAAATTTATGCTAAATATATACCTTCAACAAATAAGAATATATGTATATATATTAATATATACACAGTTACCCATTGTATGTAGTTCCGTTAGAAGCATATAATGGTTGTTGAAGACAATCTAATTGCCCATTCATAACACAGTGATTGAATAAACGCAAATCCACATATGGAAGACTATGCAGTGTTACGAGAAATGAAGATCTCTGTGAATTAATAGGGAGTGATTTCCAGGATATTCTGTTAAATGGAAAAGGCAAGGTGAACAAGAGAATATGCAGTATATTTTTTTGTGAAAGAGATCAGGAGAAATAAGAAAATATACAACTATCTGAGCATTTTTCCAAGAAGAAACACAACAAGATTAACCTAGAAACTGATGAAATTGGTTACCAATAGGGGATGGATAAGTACAGGGTGAAAAAGATGGTTGGGGTAGAAACTGAAAGTATAGAGGAATGGCATTTATTTAAATATGTTTTTTGTATAGTTCTGGCTATTGGAAGCATAGTTCATGCATTCAAAAAAATAATCAAGAGAGATTTAAAAAAAAAACAAAACCCTGAGAGTTCCCCTTCCTAGTCAAAGAAAGGGGTGACAGATGGCACCTGGAAAATCGGGTCACTCCCACCCTAATACTGCGCTTTTCCAACAGGCTTAAAAAATGGCGCACCAGGAGATTATATCCCGCACATGGCTTGGAGGCTCCCACGCCCACGGAGTCTCGCTGATTGCTAGCACAGCAGTCTGAGATCAAACTGCAAGGTGGCAGCGAGGCTGGGGGAGGGGCGCCTGCCATTGCCCAGGCTTGCTTAGGTAAACAAAGCAGCCAGGAAGCTTGAACTGGGTGGAGCCCACCACAGCTCAAGGAGGCCTGCCTGCCTCTGTAGGCCCCACCTCTGGGGGCAGGGCACAGACAAACAAAAAGACAGCAGTAACCTCTGCAGACTTAAATGTCCCTGTCTGATAGCTTTGAAGAGAGCAGTGGTTCTCCCAGCACGCAGCTGGAGATCTGAGAACGGGCAGACTGCCTCAAGTGGGTCCCTGACCCCTGATCCCTGAGAAGCTAACTGGGAGGCACCCCCCCGTAGGTGCAGACTGACACCTCACACGGCCGGGTACTCCTCTGAGACAAAACTTCCAGAGAAATGTTCAGACAGCAGTATTCGCGGTTCACAAAAATCCACTGTTCTGCAGCCACCGCTGCTGGTACCCAGGCAAACAGGGTCTGGAGTGGACCTCTAGCAAACTCCAACAGAACTGCAGCTGAGAGTCCTGTCTGTTAGAAGGAAAACTAACAAACAGAAAGGACATCCACACCAAAAACCCATCTGTACATCACCATCATCAAAGACCAAAAGTACATAAAACCACAAAGATGGGGAAAAAACAGAGCAGAAAAACCGGAAACTCTAAAAAGCAGAGCGCCTCTCCTCCTCCAAAGGAATGCAGCTCCTCACCAGCAACGGAACAAAGCTGGACGGAGAATGACTTTGACGAGTTGAGAGAAGAAGACTTCAGACGATCAAACTACTCCGAGCTACAGGAGGAAATTCAAACCAAAGGCAAAGAAGTTGAAAACTTTGAAAAAAATTCAGACGAATGTATAACTGGAATAACCAATACAGAGAAGTGCTTAAAGGAGCTGACGGAGCTGAAAGCCAAGGCTCGAGAACTACATGAAGAACGCAGAAGCCTCAAGAGCCGATGCGATCAACTGGAAGAAAGGGTATCAGTGATGGAAGACAAAATGAATGAAATGAAGCGAGAAGGGAAGTTTAGAGAAAAAAGAATAAAAAGAAACAAACAAAGCCTCCAAGAAATATGGGACTATGTGAAAAGACCAAATCTACGTCTGATTAGTGTACCTGAAAGTGACAGGGAGAATGGAACCAAGTTGGAAAACACTCTGCAGGATATTATCCAGGAGAACTTCCCCAATCTAGCAAGGCAGGCCAACATTCAGATTCAGGAAATACAGAGAACGCCACAAAGATACTCCTCGAGAAGAGCAACTCCAAGGCACATAATTGTCAGATTCAGCAAAGTTGAAATGAAGGAAAAAATGTTAAGGGCAGCCAGAGAGAAAGGTCGGGTTACCCACAAAGGGAAGCCCATCAGACTAACAGCGGATCTCTCAGCAGAAACTCTACAAGCCAGAAGAGAGTGGGGGCCAATATTCAACATTCTTAAAGAAAAGAATTTTCAACCCAGAATTTCATATCCAGCCAAACTAAGCTTCATAAGTGAAGGAAAAATAAAATACTTTACAGACAAGCAAATGCTGAGACATTTTGTCACCTCCAGGCCTGCCCTAAAAGAGCTCCTGAAGGAAGCACTAAACATGGATAGGAACAGCTGGTACCAGCCACTGCAAAATCATGCCAATGCCAAATTATAAAGACCACTGAGGCTAGGAAGTAACTACATCAACTAACGAGCAAAATAACCAGCTAACATCATAATGACAGGATCAAATTCACACATAACAATATTAACTTTAAATGTAAATGGACTAAATGCTCCAATTAAAAGACACAGACTGGCAAATTGGATAAAGAGTCAAGACCCATCAGTGTGCTGTATTCAGGAAACCCATCTCACGTGCAGAGACACACATAGGCTCAAAATAAAAGGAGGCAGGAAGATCTACCAAGCAAATGGAAAACAAAAAAAAGGCAGGGGTTGCAATCCTAGTCTCTGATAAAACAGACTGTAAACTAACAAAGATCAAAAGAGACAAAGAAGGCCATTACATAATGGTAAAGGGATCAATTCAACAAGAAGAGCTAACTATCCTAAATATATATGCACCCAATACAGGAGCACCCAGATTCATAAAGCAAGTCCTGAGTGACCTGCAAAGAGACTTAGACTCCCACACAATAATAATGGGAGACTTTAACACCCCCTGTCAACATTAGACAGATCAACGAGATAGAAAGTTAACAAGGATACCCAGGAATTGAACTCAGCTCTGCACCAAGCGGACCTAATAGACATCTACAGAACTCTCCACCCCAAATCAACAGAATATACATTTTTTTTCAGCATCACACCACACCTATTCCAAAATTGACCACATAGTTGGAAGTAAAGCTCTCCTCAGCAAATGTAAAAGATAAGAAATTATAACAAACTATCTCTCAGACCATAGTGCAATCAAAGTAGAACTCAGGATTAAGAAACTCACTCAAAACTGCTCAACTACATGGAAACTGAACAACCTGCTCCTGAATGACTACTGGGTACATAACGAAATGAAGGCAGAAATAAAAATGTTCTTTGAAACCAATGAGAACAAAGACACAACATACCAGAATCTCTGGGACACATTCAAAGCAGTGTGTAGAGGGAAATTTATAGCACTAAATGCCCACAAGAGAAAGCAGGAAAGATCCAAAATTGATACCCTAACATCACAATTAAAAGAACTAGAAAAGCAAGAGCAAACACATTCAAAAGCTAGCAGAAGGCAAGAAATAACTAAAATCAGAGCAGAACTGAAGGAAATAGAGACACAAAAAACCCTTCAAAAAATTAATGAATCCAGGAGCTGGTTTTTTGAAAGGATCAACAAAATTGATAGACCGCTAGCAAGACTAATAAAGAAGAAAAGAGAGAAGAATTAAATAGACGCAATAAAAAATGATAAAGGGGATATCACCATCGATCCCACAGAAATACAAACTAACATCAGAGAATACTACAAACACCGCTACGCAAATAAACTAGAAAATCTAGAAGAAATGGATAAATTCCTCAACATATACACCCTTCGAAGACTAAACCAGGAAGAAGTTGAATCTCTGAACAGACCAATAAGAGGCTCTGAAATTGTGGCAATAATCAATAGTTTACCAACCAAAAAGAGTCCAGGACCAGATGGATTCACAGCCGAATACTACCAGAGGTATAAGGAGGAACTGGTACCATTCCTTCTGAAACTATTCCAATCAATAGAAAAAGAGGGAATCCTCCCTAACTCATTTTATGAGGCCAGCATCATCCTGATACCAAAGCCGGGCAGAGACACAACCAAAAAAGAGAATTTTAGAACAATATCCTTGATGAACATTGATGCAAAAATCCTCAATAAAATACTGGCAAACCGAATCCAGCAGCACATCAAAAAGCTTATCCACCATGATCAAGTGGGCTTCATCCCTGGGATGCAAGGCTGGTTCAATATACGCAAATCAATAAATGTAATCCAGCATATAAACAGAACCAAAGACAAAAACCACGTGATTATCTCAATAGATGCAGAAAAGGCCTTTGACAAAATTCAACAACTCTTCTTGCTAAAAACTCTCAATAAATTAGGTATTGATGGGACATATCTCAAAATAAAAAGAGCTATCTATGACAAACCCACAGCCAATATCATACTGAATGGGCAAAAACTGGAAGCATTCCCTTTGAAAACTGGCACAAGACAGGGATGCCCTCTCTCACCACTCCTATTCAACATAGTGTTGGAAGTTCTGGCCAGGGCAATTAGGCAGGAGAAGGAAATAAAGGGTATTCAATTAGGAAAAGAGGAAGTCAAATTGTCCCTGTTTGCAGATGACATGATTGTATATCTAGAAAACCCCATTGTCTCAGCCCAAAATCTCCTTAAGCTGATAAGCAACTTCAGCAAAGTCTCAGGATACAAAATCAATGTACAAAAATCACAAGCATTCTTATACACCAATAACAGACAAACAGAAACCCAAATCATGAGTGAACTCCCATTCACAATTGCTTCAAAGAGAATAAAATACCTAGGAATCCAACTTACAAGGGACGTGAAGGACCTCTTCAAGGAGAACTACAAACCACTGCTCAATGAAATAAAAGAGGATACAAAGAAATGGAAGAATATTCCATGCTCATGGGTAGGAAGAATCAATATCATGAAAATGGCCATACTGCACAAGGTAATTTATAGATTCAATGCCATCCCCATCAAGCTACCAATGACTTTCTTCACAGAATTGGAAAAAACTACTTTAAAGTTCACATGGAACCAAAAAAGAGCCCGCATTGCCAAGTCAATCCTAAGCCAAAAGAACAAAGCTGGAGGCATCATGCTACCTGACTTCAAACTATACTACAAGGCTACAGTAACCAAAACAGCATGGTACTGGTACCAAAACAGAGATATAGATCAATGGAACAGAACAGAGCCCTCAGAAATAACGCCGCATATCTACAACTATCTGATCTTTGACAAACCTGAGAAAAACAAGCAATGGGGAAAGGATTCCCTATTCAATAAATGGTGCTGGGAAAACTGGCTAGCCATATGGAGAAAGCTGAAACTGGATCCCTTCTTTACACCTTATACAAAAATTAATTCAAGATGGATTAAAGACTTAAACGTTAGACCTAAAACCATAAAAACCCTAGAAGAAAACCTAGGCATTACCATTCAGGACATAGGTATGGGCAAGGACTTCATGTCTAAAACACCAAAAGCAATAGCAACAAAAGCCAAAATTGACAAATTGGATCTAATTAAACTAAAGAGCTTCTGCACAGCAAAAGAAACTACCATCAGAGTGAACAGGCAACCTACAGAATGGGAGAAAATTTTCGCAACCTACTCATCTGACAAAGGGCTAATATCCAGAATCTACAATGAACTCAAACAAATTTACAAGAAAAAAACAAACAACCCCATCAAAAAGTGGGCAAAGGACATGAACAGACACTTCTCAAAAGAAGACATTTATGCAGCCAAAAAACACATGAAAAAATGCTCACCATCACTGGCTATCAGAGAAATGCAAATCAAAAACACAATGAGATACCATCTCACACCACTTAGAATGGCAATCATTAAAAAGTCAGGAAACAACAGGTGCTGGAGAGGATGTGGAGAAATAGGAACACTTTTACACTGTTGGTGGGACTGTAAACTAGTTCAACCATTGTGGAAGTCAGTGTGGCGATTCCTCAGGGATCTAGAACTAGAAATACCATTTGACCCAGCCATCCCATTACTGGGTATATACCCAAAGGACTATAAATCATGCTGCTATAAAGACACATGCACACGTATGTTTATTGTGGCACTATTCACAATAGCAAAGACTTGGAACCAACCCAAATGTCCAACAATGATAGACTGGATTAAGAAAATGTGGCACATATACACCATGGAATACTATGCAGCCATAAAAAATGATGAGTTCATGTCCTTTGTAGGGACATGGATGAAATTGGAAATCACCATTCTCAGTAAACTATCGCAAGAACAAAAAACCAAACACCACATATTCTCACTCATAGGTGGGAACTGAACAATGAGAACACACGGACACAGGAAGGGGAACATCACACTCTGGGGACTGTTGTGGGGTGGGGGGAGGGGGGAGGGATAGCCGTGGGAGATATACCTAATGCTAAATGACGAGTTAATGGGTGCAGCACACCAGCATGGCACATGTATACATATGTAACTAACCTGCACATTGTGCACATGTACCCTAAAACTTAAAGTATAATAATAATGAAATAAAATAAAATAAAGGCTGAATAATTAAAAAAAACTCTGAAATGTAATATAAACCAAAGTAAATGAACCAAACCTAATGAAGTTAATAACATAATCCAAGCAAATCAAGTTAACAATGTAATCAAACTACTTTTGATTACAGACATTTGAGTGTATACCCTTAGGCTAAAGGCAAAACACTATAAGCAAGTGTTAAACTCTAGTAAGTAGATTCATTTTTCATGGTGGTATGGGCCAGCAATCCCAAACCTATTTTCTGTGTATTAAAAGGTTGAGGATATACATAAATATGCTGCGGATAATGGGAGCCGTGTTTCTCACTGTGAAAGAAAGGAGCTATAAACATAAAAAGAGGGATAGCTAGAAGGAATCCTATGCTGTGGGATTGGAATTGGAGATATCCACATGACAAGAAAGAGAGAGAATAGGTTTGTGTGTGTGTACAAAGGCCCAAAGTAGTGATATTCTAGTAGCAATGATCACATCTAGCACCCAGATTTTGCTTTATAAATACCATTTTTCGCTAAAATAACCTAGGTTCCTTGAAGAAATGGCTGATTGCAGGGCTAGTGTTGGGAATATATGAGTCTGGGACACCTTGTTGTGCCAGTAAAAGAAGATGATTAGCGGGGACATGTCCAAAAATCATCAAGCCACCTTTAAAAGGCCCTCATTGGCCAAATCTGGGCAAGCTGAACTCCAAGATCTTAACTCACTAAATAAGAGAAGCAGCTGTAAGTCCATACTAATATAAATACATAAATGGGGAAAAAGGGAAAACTTTCCTTACAGTAGAATTCCAACTAATTAATTTAAAAGAAACTAATAAATATAGAAAAAAATGATGGAATCACAAAGTCAGCATTTGGTAACTATCATGATAATTGATTCACAGAATAATTAACGCATGCTAAAACCAGGAGGTCAATGGTTGATAAGAAGCAGGATACTTATATACACCTAAAGTGTTTTCCTACAAAATACTATTAATTATGAAGGGAAAAATAGTGGAGAATTCTGGCAGACACCACCTTCACTAAGTGATCAAAGTTAATATAACCAGTAAGGTTGTTCCTGCTATGTTACCGTAAGAACACAACCTCACTTCTGTGATACTGCTCCAAAAAAGCATAAGCTAAATCTAATCATGAGAAAATAATGGACATACCCAAATTGAGGGACAGTCTATAGAGCAACTGGCCTGTACTATTCAAAAACATCAAGATCATGAAAGCTCTGCCACCCCCCAAAATCAAAATGATTGAAAGATAATTTCAGATTAAAGGAAAATAAAGACATGTGACAATGTCACAAATTATTGTGAGCTGAATTCTAGCCTAGGAAAAAGCCTTTTTTCCTCTTTTGCTATGAAGTACATTCCTAAGACAACTGGCAATATTTCAATAAGGTCTATAAACTGGATAATAGTATTATATCAATGTTCATTTATTTTGATATTTGAACTATACTTGATTAAGAGAATGTCCTTGTTTTCTCAGAAACCACATACATATTTAGGGGGAAATTGGTATCATGGCTGCAACTTATTCCAAAATGACTCAGGGTAAAAAAAAAAATCCCTACATCTATATATGAATGTATCTTTCTATTGAGAGAGAATGATAAAGCAAAGAAAGTAAAATTATTATAACATCTGTGAAATTAGGATGAAGGATATATGGCAGTCCTGGAAGCTGTTCTATAAATTTGAGATTATTTCAAAATTAATTTTTTTAAGATTAATGATACTGACTAGCTTTTAGCAGCTTGAAGGTTTAGGACATGTCATATTCGTAATTTTCTAAAGCACATCTATGTGCCATGCCAAAGCAGGCCTACAGAGTATCAGCAAAACATCAATTAGTAAGACATCCTGTCAGCCCACAGTCCATACCTACTTCCCACTCATCCTTGACTATGCAATAACTCTTACGAAGTAATTAAATCTTTATTTCTTTGTGAAAAATGGCCTTGGGAAGAGACCTAACAGTTGGTTCCAGTAACATGATCTAAAAGAAAGATAATGGTTCCTAGCCAGAAAGTAGACATTTTGGACAAATGCGAGTGTGGCCTGTCAAATGCTATGGGGACACCCATTTATGATGTGAATAAATTCACCATGAACTCTATACGGAAAGAAGAAAAAACAAATAGAGAAAATATTTCAGCCAGTACTTTATTCTGTGAAAAAAACTGCCTTGACATGTAATAGGTACAAAGGTTGGTGATGTTAATTTATGTTATGAGGATATACTAGAGAAACATATGCTTTTTGAAGAAAATATGAGCAAGCCAGGAGCATACATAAGCATTAATGTGAAGAAATAGATGAACAAGTATAAGAAAGAGTCCCAAATTACATAATGCCATGGAGGTATCTGAGAACCTGGAGATTTATTCAGATCCCAGGACATACCTGTTGTGAACATTGGTGTGTGCATCACACACCGGGGCCTGTTGCGGGGATGGGAGGCTAGGGGAGGGATAGCATTAGGAAAAATCTCTAATGTAAGTGATGGGTTGATGGGTGCAGCAAACCACCATGGCATGTGTATACCTATGTAACAAAACTGCACGTTCTGCACATGTACCCCAGAACTTAAAGTATAATTAAAAAAAGAAGAGAAATTCAATACAATAGACTCAATATTTATAAGGAAATTTCGTGAAAGGACATCAAGAATTGTTACAGGCTTTCGTTCCTTGTAGCACTTAGTATATGTACGTATCTAATCCTGATTGAAAACTTCTGGCCCTTATCTTAAATTATACTAAATTGGCTGCTAAAATACCAAAATTAACAAAAATTATAAAAACAACAAAGAAATGCTTTAAATTAAACATTAAATCTCTGAAGACTGGTATATCAGATAATTATATACTAATAGCTGCTGGTTTTCTTTTCAGGAATTTTAACATATTCATAGCAGCAGTTTTGTTATTCTAAATAATTAAAACAGTAGAGAACTATATTTCTCTATCCAATTAGAGATTAGCTAGTTCATGTATTTAAAACCACTACATATACAAAAACAAAGCCAACAATACAACCTTGTACTTTAGAAACAGGCATTATGTAATTAATCTTTGCTCTCTGTCTAGCATATGAACATTTTCCCCACTGAGATGCCTTATTTTGACTGTTCCCAAGGTACTTGGAAATCTTTTCATAAACAGGCTTAGCATTGAAATTAATTCTTGTGTTAAAAACCAATTTGCACCCTTGAATAGGCAAAGGCAAGAAAAGGGTCCAGAGCCAAAGGAAATACTTTATAATAAGCTCAGGACATTTTTACTGTTGAGAAACTCAATAATAAGCTGTTTTGCCCTATATCCTCACCTGCGCATTTTTACAAGCCACTGCCAGCGCTGAATGATTTTCCCGATTTTATTTTATCGATATATCTTTTATAAATTTACTAATTCACTATCATCTTCATTTTAGGCCATTAGAAAATAGAGACAGAGATAATACTCTGGCAAATCTCTGTCCTAGATACAATGAGATGCAACTTTTGGAAGTATTCATTATTGGTGATGTACATATCTTTTGTCTAAAGTTGCTTACAAAAGTTTTGTAGGTTGAGCAGACCATCAGTGAAAAATTACTGAACACACAACACCAATATATGTACATATGCCTATTTTGAAATTATATACATGTACTAAAAACTTGTCACTATTTTAACTTGTCAATATTTTAAATTTGTATTTAAAGTTTCCAAATCATTTAAAAATTCTTACAATTTATAAATTTTATACTACAAAATTCTCGTCTTTAAAGTGTACAAATCAGTATGTTTTATAAGTAGTACATTCACAAGGCCGTACAACCATCACCACCACCTAATTTTAAGACATTTTTATCACTCCCCCAAAAAAACCCCACACTCATTAACAGTTACACCCCATTCCACTCTCCTCTACACCCTATTATTCTACCAACTGGCTCTATGGATTTGCCTATTGAAGACATTTTATAAAAATGAAACCAGACAATATGTGGCCTTTTGTGCCTGGCTTCTTTCACTTAGTGTAAGGTCTTCGAGGTTCATCTGTGATGTAGTATATGTCAGTTCATGCCTTTTTACATCTAAATAATACTCCACTGTATGGATACACCCCATTTTGTTTATACATTCATCAGTTAATGGACATTGGGTTGTTTCCACTTTTTGGCTATTCTGAATAATGCTGCTATAAACATTCATGTACAGATTTTTGTGTGGACATTTGTTTTTAATATTTGGGTAAATGTTAAGGAGTAGAACTGCTGGGTTATAGGCTAACTATATTTAACTTTTGCAGAAATGCCAAACTGGCTTTCCAAAGAAGCAGTACCATTTTTCATTCCCAACAGTAATGTGTTAGGGTTCCACTATTTACACATCCTTGCCAATACTTTATTATTATTATTATTATTATGGCCATCCTAGTGAATGTGAAGCTGTGAGGTTGTATTGTGGGTTTGAGTTGAATTTCTAGTGACTAGTGATATTGAGTTTTCTTTTATGTACTTATCATCCAGTTGAATATCTTCTTTAGAAAAATACCTGTTTAGCTGCTTTGCCCATTTTTTATTTTTTGAGTTATTTTTATTTTTATTACTGAATTGTAGGAATTCTTTACATATTCTGTACACTAGTACCTTATACATATGATTTGCAAATGGTTTTCTCTCATTCTGTGGGGTGTTTTCACTTCCTTGATAATGTTCATTGGAGCACAAAGGCTTTCAAGCTTTCATGTTTGATGAAATCTAAATTATCTATTTTTATATGTTTGCTTGTGCTTTTGGTGTAAAATCCAAGAAGCCATTGTCACAATGATTTATGCCTATTATTTTCTTCCGGGAAATGTATAGTTTTAGTTTTTACATTTAGGCCTTTGATCCATATTGAGTGAATTTTTGTATATGGTATGAGGTAGGGGTTCAACTTCTTTTTTTTTTTTTTTTTTTTTTTTTTTTTTTTGCAAGTGGATATCTAGTTTTTCTAGCACCATTTGCTGAAAAGACTATTCTTTCTCCATTGAATTGTTTTGGCACCACCTTGCTGAAATTTAATTGACCATAATCATAAGAATTATTTTTAGATTCTCGACTCTATTCAGTTGACCTGTAAGTCTAACTTTATGTCAGTAGCACACTATTATTGTGGGTTTACTGCAAGTTTTGAAATCACGTATGTGACACCTCCAATTTGTTCTTATTCAAGATTGTTTTGGCAATGCTAAATGCCTTGAAATTTCACATGAACTTTCAGATTAGCTTGTCAATTTTTTCAAAAAGGTAGTTGGGGTTTTGGTAGGGATTGTGTTGAATGTATAGGTAAATTTGGAGAGTACTGCCATCTTAACAATGCTAAGTCTTTCAATCCATTAACACAGAGTATTTATTTATTTATATCTTCCTTAATCTCTTTCAAGGTTTTATTATTTTCAGCGTAGGTATCTTCCACTACCTTTATTAAATTTATTCCTAAATATTTAATTCTTTTGATGCTATTTTAAATCGAATTGTTTTCTTAATTTCATTTTCAGTTTACTCATTGCTAGAGTATAAAAGTGAATTGATTTTTGTATACTCATCTTGTATCTTGAAACACTGCTAGACTAATTTATTATCTGTAATAGTATGTGTGAATTTCTTAGAATTTCCTGCATACAAGATCATGTCATCTATAAAAAGAGGTAGTTTTACTCTTCCTGTTCCTTTCCCTTTAAAAAATGTATATTTTTCTTGCTCAACTGTTGTGGCTAAAACCTCCAGTACGATGTTGACAAAAGTGAACTTTCTCATCTCATCACTGATCATAGAGGGGAAAGCTTTCAGTCTTTCACCATTAAGTATGATGTCAGCTTATATGTGACATCTACACATACCATTTACATGGCTGAGGAAGTTCCTGTGTATTCCAAGTTTGTTGAGGTTTTTTTGTTTTGTTTTAATTATGAAAGTGTTTGGGATTTTGCCAAATAATTTTTCTGTGTCAATGAGATGATTATGTGTGGTTTTTGTCCTTTGTTCTATTAACATGATGCATTACACTGACTGATTTTCAGATGTTAAAACCAACCATGCATTCCTGGGAAAAATCCCATTTGGTCATGATGTATAATCCTTTTTATATTGTTGGATTCAGTTTAGTAGTATTTCACTGAGGAATTCTGTGGTACATTCACAAGGAATATTGATCTGATTGATCTGTGGCTTTCTTTTCTTTTCTTTTGAGACGGAGTCTCACTCTGTCACCAGGCTGGAGTGCAGTGGTGCAATCTTGGCTCACTGCAACCTCAGCCTCCCGGGTTCAAGCGATTCTCGTGCCTCAGCCTCCCGAGTAGCTGGGACTACAGGTGCATGCCACCACGCCCAGCTAATTTTTGCATTTTTAGTAGAGATGGGTTTCACCATGTTGGCCAGGATGGTCTCGATCTCTTGACCTCGTGATCCACCTGCCTCAGCCTCCCAAAGTGCTGGAATTACAGGTGTGAGCCACCATGCCTGGTCCTTTTCTTTTCTTATAATGACCTTGGTATTGGTATCAGGATAATACTGGACTCTTAGAATGTGTTGGGAAGTATAGTAATACATTGCTTAATGAGAATGTGAGAGAAATGTGTCATTGGGTGATTTTGTCATTGTTTGAACATCATAAAGTGTAATTACACAAACCTACTACACAAATCATATAGTCTACTACATACCCAGGCTATATGGTATAGATTATTGCTCCTAGGCTACAAACCTGTACAGCATGATACTATACTGAATACTGTAGGCAAGTGTAACTTAATGGCAAGTATTTGTGAATCTAAGCATAGAAAAAGCATGGTAAAAACATGGTATAAGAGATCAAAAATGATACACTTAACCAGCTGGGCACGGTGGCTCACGCCTGTAATCCCAGCACTTTGGGAGGCCGAGGTGGGTGGATCACGAGGTCAGGAGATAGAGACCATCCTGACTAACACAGTGAAACCCCATCTCCACTAAAAAAATACAAAAAAAAATTAGCCAGGTGCGGCGATGGGCGCCTGCAGTCCCAGCTACTCGGGAGGCTGAGGCAGGAGAATGGCATGAACCTGGGAGGCGGAGCTTGCAGTGAGCCAAGATTGCGCCACTGCACTCCAGCCTGGGCGACAGAGCGAGACTCCGTCTCAAAAAAAAAAAAAAAAAAAAAAAGATACACTTACATAGAGCACTTACCATGAATGAAGTTGCTCTGGGTGTGAGTGGTGAATAAATGTGAAGGTCTAAACTATTACTGTACACTACTGTGGACTTTATAAACACTGCGCACTTAGGCTACATTAAATTTTTAAATTTATTTAAAAATAAAATAATTGTACCATGCCATGGGTATGACTGTGACATCATTTGGTGATAGGAATTTTTCAGCTCCATTATAATCTTACGGGACCACCATCATGCTGCAATCTGTTGTTGACTGAAATGTCATTATGCAACACATAACTGTATTCCTTTCTCCTATCTATTTTTGGGGAAAAGTATGTGAAGAATTGGTGTTAATTCTATTGCGGATGGTAGAACTAATTAGCAAAGCCACTGGGCCAGGGCTTTTCTTTGTGGGAAGATTATTGATTGCTAAATTAATCTCTTTACTTGTTATTGCTCTATTTAGAATTTCAGCTCTTTCTAGAAGCAGTTTTGGGAGTTTGTGTCTTTAATACAATACCATTAATCGTATGTATCAATCTGACTGGGCCAAGAGGTGCCCAGTTTAATATTGTTTCTGAGTGTGTCTGTGAGGGGTTTTCTGGATGAGATTAGCATTTGAATTCGTGGATTCACTAAAGTAGATTGCCCTCCCCAATGTTGCTGGGCATCATCTAATCCATTGAGGGCCAGAGGAGATCAAGAGACAGATGGAAAAAGAATTCATGCCTTTTGATTCTTGCTTTTCTGCTTCTGTTGGAATCTCGGTCTGCTCTTACCCTTTTACTACCATTAACACCATTGGCTCCTCTGATTCTGAGGCCTTCAGACTTGGATGGGAATTACATAGCCAGCTTTCCTGGGTATCCAGCTTGCAGATTGTGGAAATTCTCAGCCTCCGTAATTACTTGAGTCAATTCCTCATAATAAATCTTTTCATATATATATATGAAAGATAGATATATAAATATATAATATATAATATACAATTTTATATATTATTTATATATAGCACATAAAATATATATCTATACATATATTTATAATATATAACATATAAGTAATATATAAATATATCATATATTATCTATATATAAATATATCATATATTATCTATATATAAATATTTTCATATAAATAAAAGATATATATGAATATATATTATATAGATGGATATATAAATATACATGTAAATTATATATTTATATATAATTTTTAATTTATATTTTATATATTATATAAAATTATATAAATTAGATATAATATATTCATTTTTAATAGATAAATATTTTATTTAATACATAATAAATAATATATATTCATATAATATATATTATATAAATATATATTCATATAATATATATTATATATAATATATATTCATATAATATATATTCATATAATATATATTATATATAATATATATTCTATATAATATATATTATATATAATATATATTCATATAATATATATTATATATAATACCTATTCATATAATATATATTATATAAATATATAAACATATATTCATACATATATCTTTCATATATATGAAAAGATTTATTATGAGGAATTGGCTCAGGTAATTATGGAGGCTGAGAAGTTATATTTACATAATTTCTCTCTCTCTCTCTCTCTCTCTCTCTCTATATATATATATATATCTCCTATTGGTTCTGTTTCTTGAGGGAACCCTGACTAATACAATGTCTTTAAAGGAATTTGTCCATCTATCTGGGCTAATTTGTTGGCATACAACTGTTCATAGTATTCTACACTCCATTTTATTTCCGTAAAGTCAGTAGTAATGTCCCCTCTTAGTTTCTGATTTTGGTACTTTGAATCTTCTCTATTTGTTACTTAGTCAGTCCACCTAAAGTTTGTCAACTTTGTTGATCTTTTCAAAAAGCTAACTTTTGGTTTCACTAATTTTCTCTATTTTTTTCTATTATCTCATTTATTTCCCCTCCAATCTCTGTTATTTATTTTATTCTGCTTGCTTTAGGTTTAGTTTTCTCTTCTTTTTCTACTTTCCTAAAATGTAAGGTTAGGTTATTGATTTGAGATTTCTTATTTTCTATTAAATAATATAAATGTTTATAGTTATAAATTTCCCTGTAAGCATTGCTATAGCTGCCTCTCATAAGTTTGGATATGCTGTTTTCATTTTCATTCATCTCAAAATATTTTCTACTCTCCTTTGAAGTATCTTCTTTGATTCTTTGGTTATTTAGAAGTATATTGTATAATTTCCACCTATCTGTGAATTCCCAACATTTCCTTTTGTTATTTATAATTTCATTCCATTGTGGTCAGAGAACATACTTTATACAATTCCTTAAATGCCTGTACCAAATGAGTTTCTTATACTTTACTGAGGGGCTCTGTGTATGTGTGTGAGGGCCACAGGCCTTACATGCTCAGGCATGCAGTTTATAACTCTGCCTTAGGCTTCACTTTCTGCTTCCACAGAGCCTCAAGGTCAGCCAGAGGTGAGAGCTTAGGGCCTTCTCAATCCTTTCCTGAGCACGTGCATTGCCCTGGGCCGTTGCACACAGCCCTACACAGACCCATGACCTTTCAGATTCCCAGGGATATGTTGGAAGTTTCTAGTGCCCACTAGGGGATCTCCTTCCTCAGCTTATCCTCTTAAGATTTTTAGTCAGCTTCTTGCTCACTCAACTGTTACTGCCTCTTCAGTCAGCTGTGATGCTAAATAAATGTTGCTGATTGTTTTTGATAAATACCAGGTTTTTTAAAAAGTCTACTTGCACTGAGCAAGGTCTGAGTCAGGTGAAATAAATATAAGTACTTAGAATGGGAGTTTAAAGGGAAGTGCCAGACAGGTCAAATAATGACAATGTGAGAACTGTGGGACATGGGAGCCTTAACCCTGATCTGCTCCCTCCAATGGCTGCTAGGCTGCTGGTTTTCACCCTGATTTGAGCAGCTGTTGGCTTTTAAGATTATCATGGAGCTGAGAAGAGGGAGATGGGTATATGGCAAGTTAAAATGCCACAAAGCTTGCTATTCTTACCAAGATTCAGCTGTTTTTCTTGATTAAACACTCCTTGGATTGTTACAAGCCTTTAGTTAATTTCCCCATCCAAAGAAGTTGATTGTGACAACTTTTGTCAGTATTTTTGTTGCTTTTATGTAGGACTATATTTTTGGAGATCCTTCCTCTGCCATTCCTGCTGATGTCCTAATTTCTTACTTTTAAGCTAAAAATATACAGACTTGGAAAGTCTATTATTTTCTACCCACATTCCAGTACATCATCCAGTGCACCCCATTTGGGAGGCTACCAGTATAAAATAAAAACTTCCTTCAAAATACTCAATTCAGGTTTATATTCTATCTGAAGGTCATATCATGACCTTCACATGATTAGGATGAGTCCTTCTGCCTTTTCCAGACCTCCTGCAGCAGCTCCATTCTCTTGGTCCATTGGATTGAAACTCAGAATTAGCTGACACTTCCCTTCCTCTCCTGCTTCCACATCCCCTCAAGTCATCCCTCATAATCTTACCCACACATGATCCTCCTTTTCCATTACCAGTGCACCTTTGTCTCTTGCTTGCCACCATCTCTACCCTGTTTACCAACAGTAAATGAATCTTCATATAAACGTCAGTTTGATGAATTTGCTCCAGGGGCTCAGAGGGTTTCCACCAACCTCTTCTTGCCTTCTGGATAAAACCTAGCCTTCTTAGTGTGGCTGTCCACGTTTTCACAATCTGGACCCAACTTGAACTAGAAGTCATACAACTTGGGTTCTGATTCCAGCTTAGTTTGTAATGATACACAAAGATATAGAGCAAAGATATAGAGCACAGAGATATAGAGCAATATTGAGTGCCCACTATATGCTGAACCCATAGTTCAGGGAGCTATAGATAGGTAAACCCCTAGTTACAATATATTGTAGCCAAGAACTAGGTAGAAGAATCAATTAAGAACACATCTGAGGCTGCACATGGTGGCTCACACTTGTAATCCCAGCACTTTGGGAGGCTGTGGCGGGTGGATCACCTGAGGTCAGGAGTTCTAGACAGGCCTGGCCAACACGGTGAAACCTCGTCTCTACTAAAAATACAAAAAAATTAGTTGGGCATGGTGGCGCACACCTGTAATCCCAGCTACTCGGGAGGCTGAGGCAAAAGAACTGCTTGAACCCAGGAGGCGGAGGTTGCAGTGAGCTGGGACCACACCATTGCACTCCAGCCTGGGCAACAAGAATGAAACCCAGTCTCAAAAAAAAAAAAAAAAAAAAAAAAGACGTCTGCGAAAGTGTCTTTGAAAAGTATAAAAAATTGTATCCAGTAGATAAAGAAGAACAAACAACTATAATACCTCATAAAGATGATTGTTATTATTAAAACAACTATATATAAATAAAAATAAATAGAAATTACAAAGATGCTCGGTTTTTATTACCTATTTAGTCTTGGTGTCTTCATTTGAATAATGGTTTGGGCAACTTAATGAGAATAAATACTTTATTACAGGTGAACATTTTGTGGGGTACCTTTTATAAACAGAGTTCTATAATCACACTGTGAAAACATTAATGATTACTGATACCTCACCTTCATAATAAAAAACAATGATATGAGAAAAAAAGCAGTTACTTACGCTCTGCTTTTAACTGTCCAAGGATGGAATTTTCTCCTCTGCACATGGTTCTGAAAATATGTAAAGGAGAAAATAATTACAGAGGTTTCAAAACAACCAATCCCATGCAGTATCTGTAGGTTTAATCCTAACACAAGTAAAAACAGAACAAGTGCTTCTATGAGAAGATGCTACATATATATCTAAATGCTAAAAACAGTTACATGAATATCACTTTTGTAATGCTACTAATAGGGACATGATAGTTGTTTTGAGGTAGGTAAATGGAAAAGTTATAAAATTCGTGTTAGATTTCAGAAAGAGAGGCTATTAAAAAAAGAAGGGTCATGAATGAACTTTCCCTCTTACAAAACTGGGTAACAGCAAAGATAAATTTAGAATGCATCAGTAGATAAGAATACTTAGAGAATCACATTGCTCTCAGAGGTGAAAAGGGCAAGCACTTAGCAGAATAATTTACAAATTAAACTATTAGAATGGACTGTCTTTAAATTCAGCAAAACCACTAAAAACGAAAAATATAGTCTCAAATAAAGGACTCTGCTAATGATTTTGTTTCTTAAGACTCTGATAATCACTGATGAATTATAAAATCTGACAAAACCAAAAATTCTATGCTTCATCTGCTTGCTCTATGAGAGTAATAAAGAGTATACTTATGCCTGAGAAATGCTATTATTAAAGATGATGCCAGCAAATAGAGATGTTTTTGCATAATAAAAGGTTATAGTTTTTGTTTCTGAACAAAAGCCAAATGTGTTATTTCATTCAGCTGGTTCGAAGGCAAGAAAATAGTCATAGAAAACAATTACAATTAACAATATTACAAAAATAATATTAGAATGGCGAATGAAATTGATAAAATTCAATTAAACATTATGTCAGAGCCTTAAATACTTGAAAAGCTTTATCATTTTATAAATCAGATAATATTAGAAATGTGCAAATCTTCAGTCCAAGTATATAGGCCAAAGCACAGTTAAAGCTCTCTTGTACTGTAACTAGGCAGAAGCACCCTGGAGGAAACAAACAAACAAAAATCTTTCCTTGAAATCCTGGCAGATAAACAGATACAAGCTTGAAACATCAGTAAGAAAAAAGAGGATTAAAAAAAAATTTCCACTACAATGGTGCACTCGAACTGTGCACAGATCCTCCAGCAGGAGCATCTGGCGAGGGGGCCCAAGCAGGAGGGCATCTAAGTCTCCACCCCCGATTTGACCAAGGCCCTGACCCCTAATCTGCTTTACTTACCAAAGGTTCTATGTAAAGTATCATTCGTCCTCTCCCACCTTTCAGAAGGGTTTGATTAGAAAGGTGAGAAACTACAGGTGGTTCAGAAAAATAAGAGATTTTGGTTAAGTGACCCTGAGAGAAGGTCAGAGGTGCATTTCCATCCCCATCTATGCAGGCTTTCTAGCCTGTGCTCCCCCAACCCACCAGCTAGCACTTTCCAGCCCTTTTCACAATGCTCCACTGGCCAAATCTGAAGCCTCAAGAGGAACCCAAGTGTGCCCTTTTAAATAAATATAAAAACTCAGCTTTTAAAAATATCAAGCACAAAACTTTCCCTAAAATTTTAACAAAGATGTGGTAGAGAAAACAAAATTCCGGGAATTTATTTACTAACAGAGGCTATCATTATCAACCTTGTTGAAGGACTTGCTACCTAAAGAATCATAACCAAACACAAGCAAATCTTACCATTTCAGGCATTTAATTTTTTCTCTATTTACTGCAAAGTACATGTAAAGCTCAATAGCTATTTACCCACTTAAAGATAAGTTTTAATCAACATTATACATATATAGAAATAGACAGTAACTATACAAGAAGGACTAATATTTTAGTTCTTTTATGTTTGCCATGTGTCTTAGGCCAATCATTTATCATTGTAGGCTCCATTTGAATTTTATCAACTAGCAAACGGGCCAAGATTTGAAAGTAAAATAAAGTGTTCATTTGTTCCCCACTCCACCGAATGGATGTGGAGAAACACTGCCATTCCCTTCATCAGCTTACATGATGCATGACCGAAAGCTCAAAATAGACCATTTAGAGTTTTGGCACCTGTAGTTGAAGTGCATGATTGCCTGTAGAGCATTTCCTCCGCCGGTTGAAATGTCTCCTTCGAACCCTGGCAGAAGTGGTATCACGACATATACCCGGTATTTCTGGTTTTCCCTGCAAAGGTCAGATGCAGAGAAATTCACCCAAAAAATAAAAGGTAGTATCAATTTTAGATGACAGCCAAGCAGTTCACATGGTTTTTGAGATTGAGTGAATGGCTTCCTACAACACGTTCTGTCACATTTCAGGACTTGGGAGGGTGTGCTGTTGGACTGGAAGACAGAAGCTGTCATCCAGGCTATCGCTTCATAGCCTGAATAACAAGCTAAACTTGGCAGTAAAGTAGAAATTGTACCCATTGTCTCTCTACAGCATAATCGCTTGTAGGACAAAATGCAGTGTAAGAAATCCTTGCTTGGATCCCATGGAAAGAGGCGGGTAGGGGAGGCTATAACAAAGTTTTGGAAAAAGAACTTAATAGTTAACACAGTACCTAGCTAGAGCCGTGGAAATAGTAGACATTCAGTTAATAATTGTTGAGTAAATCAGTTCTCATAGCCTAGATCGCAGGGGCAAAAAGACACACTGGACCCATTACATTTTCCAAAACAGAAGTCATCATTATCTACTTAGAAACTCTGAGTTTTCAGCTGTAAAATGTTACCCTAGGCCCTTTAAGAATTCTGAGTGGCCGGCCGGGCGTGGTGGCTCATGTCTGTAATCCCAGCACTTTGGGAGTCCGTGGCAGGTGGACCACGAGGTCAAGAAATTGAGACCATCCTGGCTAACACGGTGAAACCCCGTCTCTACTAAATATACAAAAAATTAGCCGGGCGTGGTGGCGGGCGCCTGTAGTCCCAGCTACTCGGGAGGCTGAGGCAGGAGAATGGCGTGAACCCGGGTGGCGGAGCTTGCAGTCAGCAGAGATCGCGCTACTGCACTCCAGCCTGGGTGACAGAGCGAGACTCCATCTCAAAAAAAAAAAAAAAAAAAAAAAGAATTCTGAGTGGCCAGTATGTATATTTAAGTCCCCTGCACATACAACACAATATTTCATGTCCCATTCTCTCAAGTGATTAATGACAACCTTTGAAAGAAAATGAATTCTACTCAATGATATAACAATAGAAGAAGAAAGTGTAGCTTTCTCTCTTTGACGGGCATTCAGAAAATCAGAAATTTGAAGTATGCTCCAAATAGGTACCATTTATTCAGAATCAAAAGCTATTAACGTTCTTGTCTCTATTTATAGGATATACAGGGAGAAGAAAAAGCCTCGAAAGGAATGTGACATACACTGTGATCAATGAATCTCGCTGGGATATCCGGGAGGACTATATTCACACAAAGGTGTTGTCATTGGTTAATTTTCAAGTCCGATCCTACTTAAACTTCTCATTTCTAAAGTGCATTTTCTTCTAAACAACTAAATTTTTCTTTCATGTGAATATTATCAGTACTCTTTGGGGGATCAGATTTTATTACTGATGTCTCTAAAGTCGATGTCAGGGCAAGTGGAAAGAGAAGTTCAGGGCAGAAATGACTACCAACAATGAAATTTGGAGGCCTGTGAGTTTGGCTGCCATGCTAAGAAACAAGGATCTTGAGTAGGTTGTTGTAATGGCATGGATTATTCACTAGATGGCAAACATAGTTTGAGTTGGAAAGAAGACATTAAAAAATGTAAACTGTTCAAGTTTGCTGCTTGGTAAGAATAAAAGGCTCACATCCCTAAATGGTGAGCAGGATAGCGAAAAAGAACAGACAAAAAAAAAAAAAAAGAAAAGAAAACCTAAGCTATTAAGCTATTTCCCCACAGCCAACATTTAAAAGTCAAAAAATTAAACTGGACAGTTAAAAATGGATGTCATTTGGCCTCAACTGCCTTTTCAGAATTCAGGATTATACTGCCTTACAGTATAATCCTCCCATCACCACAGCCCAGTGACAGGAGACTACCACCCTTTGTTCAGAGGTACACCTTCCTACTAATAAAGCTTGGCTCATCAGCCTTCTGGGCCTCCAGTGAATCCCACTTCTTCTAGGTCACCTTATTGGCTATTTCCTCTGCCAAGCCACTTGGCTCTTCCAGTCAGAGTTGTTTTATTCTTGCCTCGGCACTCATAGCACATGGCCAGGATGTCTGTTCTGCACTCTTTCTGCTTTACACGATAGTGATACACACATCTGCTCTCTAGGCTATGTGATAAGCTCCTTTGAAACACAGGATGCCTGCCCACATATCTTTCTGGTTTTGGTAGTACCCAATCAAAGACCCTTGCACATGCTATGCACTCGGTATTATTTGCTTTAGGAGGATGGGATCAGGTTGGAAAAATGTTTCTGGGGAAGTTTCTGGTAGAGAAGAGGTTAAGCTGAACAGGAATTTTTTCCTTTAAATTAAATTACATTTTGTTTGTAAAGTGTATATAATATATTACATACATTTTTTTCTTTAAATAAAATTATATTTTATGTCTTTAAATTAAATTACATTTTATTGTGGTAAAATACATGTAATATAAAATTTGCCATTTTACCCTTTTTTTTTTATTTTGAGATAGAGTTTCGCTCTTGTTGCCCAGGCTGGAGTGCAATGGTGCGATCTCGGCTCACTGCAACCTCCGCCTCCCAGGTTCAAGCAATTCTCCTGCCTCAGCCTCTTGAGTAGCTGGGATTACAGGTGTGCACCACCACGCCCAGGTAATTTTGTACTTTTAGTAGAGACGGGGTTTCTCCATGTTGGTCAGGCTGGTCTCGAACTCCTGACCTCAGGTGATCCGCCTCGGCCTCCCAAAGTGCTGGGCTTACAGGAGTGAGCCACCGCGCCCAGCCCCCATTTTTAAGTGTACAGTTCAGTGGCATCAATTACATATACAATGTTGTACAACTATCATAATGATCTATTCCCAAACCTTTTCAACATCCCAGACAGAAACTCGGTGACTATCCAGTCATAACTACCCTGTTTTTCCCTGCCTGCACCCCTTGGAAACCTCTAATCTGCTTGTCTCTATGAATCTGCTGGTTCTGGATTTTGCATATAATTAGAATCATACAATACTTGTCCTTTATGTCTGACTTGTTTCGCTTAGCATAACATCTTCAAGGTTCACCCATGTTGTAGCATGCGTCAGAATTCCCTCCTTTTTAAGACTGAATAATATTCCATGGTATGTACATATCACATTCATCTGTTAATGGACACTTATGTTGTTTCCACCTTTTGGCTATTGTGAATAATACTGCTATAATACTAGCATACAGTATCTGTGAGTCCCTGTTTTCAGTTCTTTGGGGTTTATATTCAGGAATGGAACTGCTGGGTCATGTGGTCATTCTATGTTTAGCATTTTGAGGAACTACCAAACAGGTTACTTTCAAATGAGTAACATATGCTCATAGTACAAAATGTAAGAGGTAGATGATTATACAGTGAAAAAAAATCTCTCTCACTCCTTCATCCTGAGGGCAACTCCTGTTAACAGTTTCCTCCATGTTCTTTTAGAAATAGTGTAAGAATTTATAAGAATATATGTATTTTTTCCTTCTACACAAATATTAGAATACTATAAACACTTTTCTGAACATGATTTTTATCATTTAACAGGGTATCTTGGAAATCCTTCCACATAAGAACATAGTTACTTTTTTTTTTTTTTTGAGACCCAGTCTCGCTCTGTCGCCTAGGCTGGAGTGCCGTGGTGCGATCTCGGCTCACTGCAAGCTCCACCTCCCAGGTTCATGCCATTCTCCTGCCTCAGCTTCCCGAGTAGCTGGCGCTACAATCGTCTGCCACCACGCCCGGCTAATTTTTTGTATTTTTAGCAGAGACGGGGTTTCACCGTGTTAGCCAGGATGGTCTCGATATCCTGACCTCGTGATCCACCCGCCTCGGCCTCCCAAAGTGCTGGTATTACAGGCGTGAGCCACCGCACCTGGCCAGAACATAGTTACTTTTTAAGAACAGGGAGGTAATATTCTACCATGCATCTATACTTTAATATTTAAACCAGTTCTTTACTGATAGGCATTTAAATTGCTTCTAATTTTTTTTCTATTTCAAAGTAACTATTTTGATATTTACGCTGACTAACAAAAGTAATTTTTCACATTTGTTGGAAAAATCTTACAAGTGGTATTGCTGGTCTTTGACACAAATGTTTGTGATGATGTTTGTAAGAGACAGTTCTATTTTATCTTTTTTTTTAAGCAAAAATGATTTTACAAGGGAGATCTCATATGTATGATATTGAGAAATGTCCTATAAAAATATTATAAAACATTCTTGCAAATTTTAGTTTGTAGGAATCAGAATATTCACATTTTCTTGTTTTTAGGACTCTCTTAGCTCCATAACAAGCCCTTTGCTATTTTACAATATGGTAGCTCATAAATTTCCTGAATGATGAAAATTTTAAACTGCGTTCAGCAAACTAGTGGAAACTATTTAGATTTTCACTGCTGTAGAAAAAAGGGCTCTGGAATTTCAAACGCAAAATTGTGGTTGAATGTAAGCCAAAGCACAGAAGATTCCATGGGACACTGTGTCCAATCTGCCTCCTTGATCCAATCCACAGAGGACAAGAGTTCCAGCTGCTGAGGAATCCAACGTCCTTCGGAAATACTGAATCCTCACAACATGGGGGTTGTGGAAATGATAGCATTCAGCTTAGGGTAAGAATCTGAGCCCCTAGTGTATAAAATATTTATGATCTTAAAAGCAATCTTGCTTTTGGGGCTAGTGGGCACTAAGCCCCGGATAACTACCCATCATGCCAGCAATCACTTCATCCACATTAGTTCAAAGCAATTTCTACCAAACAGCATTCTCAGGCTTCTTGTTAAAAGTTTTTCTTCAAAATTCACTAACTCTTATGGCAGTGCTACGTATAATAGCTAAAAATTGGAAATAAATGTCCAATAATAAAGGAATGGTTAAATTATGTTGAGCCAGTCAATGGAATGATCACCTTGTAGCCACTAAAAATGACCGCTATGAAGGCTCAGTAGCACAATACTTCTGGTACTGTGTTAAAATGGCCCCAATGCAATGTTATAAGAGAATAAAAATGTGGCAGGCCAATGCTATAAAACATTAAATCATTTTTCCCTTTAAATGTGTTAACTTCCCCCACTCTGTGACCGGAGAAACGAAGCAGGCATTGCTCCCGGGGTGGCACTCTCACAAGGGAAGCAGGACACAAAAACATCAACTTCTTTTAGATTTGGGGAACTGGAGAGATTCTCTAAGCTGAGGCAGGAGTGTAGAGAAATAAGAGCAAGACTCAGGGCAAGGAATCAGTCCTTTGGCCTCAAGCTGAGTTCGGGGAAAAACAGGATAGACCCCACTCTCTTTTCAATGTGAGGATATGAGAGCCAGGAGGATCTGTGCCTTGCTTTCAGGTGAACTCCAGAGAAATGTGGAGCATGTCGTTCAGCAGCTATGCGATGTGGCAGGAGCAGAGGAGAAGTGGTAGAGAGGCAGGCCTGAAAGGTGAAGGCTGACGTCCCCAAGCTACGTTAAGCAGATGCCAGAACAGGCCGGAGGGAGATCAACATCAGTGTCTGGAAGCCCCTTTCCAAAGATCCAGGGCCCCATAGCATTAAGATCAAGGACGGGATGTGGAGGGAGAGGAGGCAGGAGTAGAACCCTGATGCTGAATATAGAAGGGAAATAATGAGAAATCACTGAATTTGGCCACATTTATCAGGAAGTGCCAAAACTAAAACTAAAACCCCTCCTATTGTGTGGAAATGCGCTTGAGCTAGAAATTCAGATGAACTCTAGGAAAAGAAAATAAATTACAATTCAACAGAAAATAGTAGTGTGTGTGTATTAGCCAGGCGTGGTGGCGGGCGCCTGTAGTCCCAGCTACTCGGGAGGCTGAGGCAGGAGAATGGCGTGAACCCGGGAGGCGGAGCTTGGCAGTGAGCCAAAATCGCGGCACTGCACTCCAGCAGCCCGGGCGACAGAGCGAGAATCCGTCTCAAAAAAAAAAAAATTAATTTTAAAATTTTTGTGATTGCTATAAAGCTGTTTGTACCTTTAAAAGCAGAGTACGAATGTACCATGTAGATGGGTCACAGCAGTGATGTACCTCTACTTTCCTTTTCTTGTTTTTCTCTGCTGCATAAGCCCCTCCTCCTTCACCCACAGTCCCTCCTCAGCATGAAGGACAGTTAGGAGAAGCTTGATCTGCTCACAACTGGGTCTCAGGGTCTGGCAAGAAGGCCCCGAGGAAGCTTGATATGCTTCGCTAGTGACAAGACACTTTATTTTTTTGAGAATTTGAGATTTATAGTTTGTATTTCATTACTGTAAACTTCAAGAGCTGCTATAAATCGTCTCGTTGTAGATTTTGCAGCAGTGAATACTGTCAGAAATAGGAAGAATTGTGGTTAGGGCTTAGGGTGTGTGTGTGTGTGTGTGTGTGTGTAAAGAGAATTTTATACTATGGTGGTATCAATTATGTTGGAATTGGATCTGTAGCTTCTTGGTCGTTTGGGACATAACCCCTTTTATTTTGTGCTTGGCAAATCCTTTAAAAGGAGAAGATCCTTCTGGGCTTCAGTTTCCTCATCTGCACATGAAAGAACTGGCTAAAATCATGACTAGTCCACTAGAAATGCTGGCCCTATTTAGCACTGACTTTACCTATCCTCTATGTGACTTCATAGATTATGAACTATTATATATTGTGCACAAACACACATCAGTTTTCTCATTGGTTATCTTTTGAAAATGGCAAGCTTTCAAACATAAGAATGCTGAGGGATTCCCCAGCATGTTTGACTTAGACTTCACCCTGGGCTTGATAGTCTTTGGCAAGCCTAGCCCTGAGTGGCCCCCAAATGAGGTTATATAGAACCTTATACTAAACTGTTCCCACTATGGCCCAGACGGTTTTCATTGTCATTTTTAAGTCTCCTTCTTCCTTCCTCTCTTTTCCAGGGCACATGCTCAGGCTCAAAATGAGTGCTGGCCCCTGCCCTGTGCTAATCTTTACATTTCTCTATCTGCTGAGGTTACCATTTTATACAATTTTTAGAATAGAATAAAAGCATTTACATGACCTAAATCAAAAGGTCTCCTGCCACGATCTGTTGTCATCTGTGTCCCAAGGTAACCTCTTCTCCAGAAATCGTACAGAGCTTGGGAGTTATCCCACAAGAAAAAATGTGAAACCAATGATTGGCATACTTAGATAAAATGTGTTTTGGCCAGGCGCGGTGGCTCATGCCTGTAATCCCAGCACTTTGGCAGGCCAAGGCGGGCGGACCACGAGGTCAGCAGATCGAGACCATCCTGGATAACACAGTGAAACCCCGTCTCTACTAAAAATACAAAAAAATAGCCAGGCGTGGTGGCAGGCACCTGTAGTCCCAGCTACTCGGGAGGCTGAGGCAGGAGAATGGCGTGAACCCAGGAGGTGGAGTTTGCAGTGAGCCAAGATCGCGCCACTGCACTCCAGCCTCGGCGACAGAGTGAGACTCCTTCTCAAAAAAAAAAAAAAAAAAAGGTACTGCAGTTGAATTTTCTTTAAGACAAGGCTTCTGAAACAAGCCCAACATGTCTTTTCAGTTTGGTACAAAATTATAGGATATGGTAATTATGGACATAGATTTTTCTTTAAACCCAAGAACTTTTAATCTATCAAACATTGCTTTTAAAAAATAAAACATTCATCTGATTTTTTTTTTCTTTTTGTGACAGGGTCTTGCTCTGTTACCCAGGCTGGAGTGCAGTGGTGCAATCATGGCGCACTGCAGCCTTCACCTCCCAGGCTAAGAGATCCTCCCACCTCAGCTTCCCGGATGGCTGGGACCACAGGCATGTACCAGCACACTCAGCTATTTTTTTTTTTTTTTTTTTTTTTTTTTTTGTAGAGACTAGGTCTCACTATGTTGCACAGACTGGTCTTGAACTCCTGAACTCAAGTGATCTTCCTGCCTCGGCCTCCCAAAGTGCTAGAATCAAAGGCATAAGCCACAGTGCCCAGCTCATTCAATTTTTTATATTTCAAAATAAAGTATTTTTCATAGATTTCTGGGAGGCTTACCATTCGAAAATTTCTACATCCCTTGAAATGGGGGAAGCTTTGTAGCTTACTGGTAAAAAGCACAAGTTGAGGTCCTACAGACATGGTTTGAGTCCTACTCCTATCCAACCATAGCTGTATGACTTGGCTAAGTTATCTAATTTCACTAGGCCTCAGCTGCCTCATCTGTAGAATGGGAGTAATTACACAACCAATCCCATAAAGTTGATACAAAGACTGAATGAGGTAACACAGGTATAGCACTGATTATGTGGAAAGACTCAGAAACTATTTGGTAACATTTTTATTCAATTATATCAATTGCTGATTTCAATTAGAAGGCTTGCATATCTTCAAATAACAACAAAGTAAATAGCATCTAAAATTAAAACAATACTAAACTAAACACATATTATGCTTCAGAATACATTTTGTTTTACTTTATATTTTGGGGAGAGTGTTATCAGATCAATAACAGGGAAATCAAAAATTGATTCCCAGGAAGAGTCAGCTATAGGTTTCTGGCAGCAAACCTCTAGACAGAGTGTTGTAATCGTGTGCCTAAACAAGTCACATGATGAACAACAGCCAGTCGTGAGAAACCAAAACAAATTTTTCTTATCCAGAAGTAGCCGTCCAATAATTTAAAATACGGAACATTTAAGCATCTTTTAAATTAAAACATTTCTTTTTCTAGCATAAATACTAATTTTGAAACAGCTGATTTGAATATGATGCCTCTTTATCCTTGCTTCAATTTACAGTGAACAACATATTTCCAGATGATGAATATCATGGAAATGCTATAATAAGTTCTTACATGAACTGGTGCTTTACAGCTTACAAACTACTTTCACATATATTCATATAAGCTACGTAGAACAGATAATATTATTCGTGGTTGGTGAAGAAACAGCGTGTCAGAAGGACAAACTGACGTACTCAGAAGGTCACATACCTGTGGATAACAGAGCTGGAGAGAATCCAGGTCTCCAGACATCTGGTCCCCCAATAATTTCAGATTTCCCAGTGTGGTATTTCCCATACCACCCACTTACAGGCAAGCAGTAGCTCTTCTACAGTTATAAGAAGCATGAGGGGCACTTTGGGAGGCCGAGGTGGGCGGATCACTTGAGGTTAGGAGTTCAAAGCTAGCCTGGCCGACATGGTGAAACCCCGTCTCCACCAAAAATACAAAAAAATTAGCTGAGTGTGGTGGCGGGTGCCTGTAATCCCAGATACTCGGGAGGCTGAGGCAGGAGAATTGCTTGAACCCGGGAGATGGAGGTTGCAGTAAGCCAAGATCACACCACTGCACTTCAGCTTGGGTGACAGAGCAAGACTGTCTCAAAAAAAAAAAAAAAAAAAAGAACATGGTAAGTTTGAACAATGTTCAAAATTGTTGTTTTAATGTAGTTTAATAGCATATTTTTAATGCAGTTTAATATTAAAACATAGAAGCATTAAGTCAACTGACTATTTTCATTGTGTGTGTCAACTGTTTGTTGCTAACACTATAAAATGCACTTTCTCACTTCCTGACTTTCTACCAAAGCAGAAAAATTATGCATGTCAAGTTTCCATGTGCAAAGATCTGAGAATCTCCTCAGAAACCATTCATTCATGGCACACAGTGTTTAAAAATGTGTCTACCTGGATCAGTTGGTCCTATCTTTTGGCTTAGTCAAACATGGCATAAAACAGTAAATTTTAGACTGTGGATTATGATTTTTTTTCTCTCTGATCGCCAATCACATTTGAGCTGTCAAAGAAAGGTTTCAAGTGGGTTGGGCAGCTGGCTTCAACTCTGAGACAGTTTTACTTATTAGAGTGAAGATTTGTTTTTTGTTTTTTTTTTATTCTGATTCCCCCGGCTGTTCTGAGGTCAGCATGGGGTAAACATGAGTCTGAGGCTCTAGGTCATGTCAGAACATGAAGGCTTTGCAAAACTTATTTCTATAAAGAATTATGGCTGTTGAGAAGGAACCAGAGGAAGTGAGAGGAACTGAGAAATTGCTTAGGGGAATTGTTGTGAGGCTGGATTCCAACGCTGGCAGAAAAATACTTAGACCAGTCCAGGGAGTTGGCAATTTGAAGACTCAGATTTCTCCAGGGTAGGAGGGACCTGGCAGAGGGCCTGTATTCTTTGGTGAGGCCTGGCTGACTGCGGACTGTCATTTCCCTCCATCTGCTTTGGGCTGCATTCTATTCTTTTTCAAATAGCCAAAATTATACTTGTTGCTAAGAATGTGACTTTGGCAGGGAAGTTCTGAGTCTCAGAAAAGTAGAGACCAGAGAAGTCTATGGAGAGAGAGGGGTAAGTTTGGGATGGCACATCATGGCACCTAATTAGTGAAAAGGGGTCACCCCAGGGTGGCAACCTGCAAAATATGTTGTTTCTTTCATTTTTTATTTATTTATTTTTTTAGAGATGAGGCCTCATTCTATCTCCTAAGCTGGAGTGTAGTGGTGAGATTATAGTTCACTGCAGCCTCATACTCTCAGGCTTAAGGAATCCTCTTGCCTCAGCCTCCAAGTAGCTAGAACTACAGGCACACCAAAACATCTGGATAATTTTTTATTTTTTTGTAAAGACAGGTGGTCTCAAATTTCTAGCCTTTAGAAATCCTCCCGCCTCCGCCTCCCAAAGTGCTGGGATTACAGGTGTGAGCCACCACACCTGCCCAAGATAAGCTTTTTAATTCTGCCTTTACCTTGCCTAACACAAGCTCACAGAACACAAGCTCACAGATTTGAAATTAAGTGAAAATATATTTTACAGTTGCAATTAACATAGGGAGATTAACAAGAATGCAGAGACGCCAGGGGTGAGGGGAACATAAAATATGTTTTGAGAATGTGTGTGTGTATCCACTGAAAGTCTAAATGTGTGACATATGTACCATTTTGAAAATGTGTCTGTCAAAAAAATGAGACTATTGAGAGATCAGAGCTAAATGACACAGGTTTATTTGAAATTTGATGAACTAATTTCCCATTTTTCACAAAGCAAACTTGAAATTGCCAGTCTTTAATGTGCTCTGTCAAACTCCAAGTGTAAGATACAATCTGCAACAGGTGCTACTTTACCATAATTTTTAAAGTCACAGATCCCTTTTCCTTTCAGGAGCAGCTCATAAGATCACTAGGAAATGTTCTATCAGAAAATATCTTGAAGTTTCTTGTAGCCCTAAAATACTATAATTTTATTTATTTATTTATTTATTTATTTATTTTGAGACAGAGTCTTGGTCTGTCACCCAGGCTGGAGTGCAATGGCATGATCTCAGCTCACTGCAATCTCCACCTCCTGGGTTCAAGCAGTTCTCCTACCGCAGCCACCTGAACAGCTGGGACTACAGTCATGCACCACCAAGCCCAGCTAATTTTTGTACTATTAGTAGAGACAGAGTTTCACCACACTGGTCAGACTGGTCTCAAACTCCTGACCTCAGGTGATCCACCCGCCTCAGCCTCCCAAAGTGCTGGGATTACAGGCGTGAGCCACCATGCCCAGCCTAATTTTATTATTTTAGAAGTCCAGATTTTTAAAGACAAATTACTACAGTAAAGAAAAATATTCTTTCAGGCTTCCAAACACTTAAAAACACATCTTTGGAACAGTATAAAATACCGGGGCCAGGCCCCGATCCAGGAAATTATGATCCAGTAAGCCTGGAGGTGAGTCAAGCTCTCTGTAATCTTGCAAAAGTCAGTGGTGATTTTGATGTGTAGTCACAGGTGAGATCCACTGTACACACTGCAGGATATGATGGATGCTGTAGTGTGCTGCCTAGATCCCCTCACCATGGGATCAAGACATCCATCCCATCAGCTACTGAGCATGTAGGCCACGGAATACTCACAGTGAAGTCCTCCAGGTATGAAAAGTATGGAGTCCTCCATAGGTGAAAGGGACTTGCCTCACTCAAGGTCATCCCCACTCCCTAGGGTCAGCCTGCATCCAATGGCTGGTCAATAGGGGAAGGGAACTACAGGCCCAACACATTTGCCTCAGCTTGGGGAAGCCCTGAATGGGTTTTTAATCCTAACCATCAATGCACTAGAGTCATGTGGTGTGAGGGGAAGCATTGGGTTGAAAGTCCAAAGATTTAGGCTCAAAGCTGTTTTTTGCCTATTGTGGTTAGTGGCCTAGACAAGTCACATAACCTCTTGAATCTCAGTTTTTAATCCTAAAAATGGGAACAGCAACAACAGCAATAATAACAACAATAACAACAACAAATACATGACCTACTCTCAAGTGTAGTTGTGAAGATTCAGTGAGATAATGTAGTTATAAACTGTGAATCACATAAAATGCTGATAGTTACTGTTATAATATGTCCTTAAGTATAAAAGTCCCCAAATATTATGTGAAAAAAGATATCAAAGTACCACATGACACTGGAAGTAAAAAGTGTTTTAATTCCCAAATGCATATGCACTTATTCTTCACTGCGTGCATTCAATGACTTAAAGTAATGAAATATAATGGTTTTGCTTATGTGTTTGTTCTGCTACTTTTAAATGGAGCTGAAATCAGCCATAAGAAGAAATTGTCCCTGGTGCCAAGACAATTCAATGTGGAAAGAATAGTCTTTTTAACAAATGGTGCTAGGGCAACTCTATATCCATCAACAAAAGAATAAAAAGTTGGGCCCCTAACTCACCCCATATATAAAAAGTAACAAAATGAGTCAAATATCTAAATGTAGGAGCTAACACTATAAAATTCCCAGGAGAAAACAGGCATAAATCTTCATGATCCTAGATCAGGCAGTGATTTCTTAGATATCACTATCTATATTCCTTAGATACCAAAAGGACAAGCGATACAAGGAAAAAAATAGATAAGTTAGCTTTTATCAAAATAAAAAAAATTTCTGTTTCAAATGACACCAGCAAGAAAGTAAAAAGACAAGCCATCGAATGGGAGAAACTAGGAATCATATATCTGATATGAGACTTGTATCTAGAATGTATAAAGAATTCTTACAACTCAAAAATAAAAAGTCAAATACCCCAGTGAACAAATGGGCAAGGGATTTCAGTAGACATTTCTCCATAGATAATACACAAATGGCCAATAAGCACACACAAAGATGCTCAGTATCATTAGTCATTAGAGAAATTCAAATGAAAATCACAATGAAATACCATTTCTTAAATGGTATTTCACACCTACTAGAATGACTATAATCAAAGAGAGAGATAATAATAAGTATTGGCAAATACAGAGAAACTGGACCTCTCATATACTATGGGAATATAAAATGGCAGAGCCGCTTTGGAAGACAGTCTGGCAGTTCCTCAAAATGTTAAACATAGAGTTAGCTATAACCTGACAATTCTACCCCTAGAGAAATGAAAATATATATCTGCACAAAAACTAGTAAAGGATGTTTATAGCAGCATTATTTATAATAGGCAAAAAGTAGAAACAACCCAAATGTCCATCAACTAATGAATGGATAAATACAATGTGGTATATCCACATCATGGAATATTATCTGGCAATAAAAAGAAATGAAATACTGATACATGCTATAATAATAGATAAGCTTCAAGAACATTATGCTAAGACAAATCAGTCATAAAAGACCCCATATTGTGTGACTCCATTTATACAAAATGCCCAGATTAGGCAAATCTATAGAAAAAGAAAAATCAGTGGTAGCCAGAGGCTAAAAATAGAAGGAATGGGTAATGACTGCTAATGGGGTTTCTTTCTGAGTGGATGAAAATGTTCTAAAATTGATTAGGTGGTGGTTGTGCAACTCTGTGAATACACTAAAAATCACTGAATTGTATAGTTTAAGTGGCTGGATTATACAGTATGTAAATTCTATCTCAGCAAACCAATTATTAAAAAAAAAATCCCATGAGCTGAATAAATATGACATACGGTAACAAGAATTTAAATATAACCCATAGCAAAATATTATGTCTGTTTTGCTTTTTTAAGCGAACACAGCTCATAGTCTGCTATTAAATAAAACAAATCACAAACCTCATGTGTGGGAAACAGACTGGCCAGGAAGAAATTTTTGTGCCTTGGAAGAATTCAAATTCCCTAGAAAGGGCAGTCAAAAATCTTTAGCAACTGACTCAGACTAAAGGCATCAATAACCTATTGCTGGCTGAACCAAATTTAAGCTGCTAGGAAATGACAGTACTTTAAAAATGGGCTTTGCAAAGTCATTTTAGTAATAAATACAAGAACATCTGCAGCGAGAACTCTCAGCCAAAGGCTGTTACCTGTGAGCTTTCAGGATCCTCTGGGCAATGGCATCGCCTATCTTGTTGAACACAACTTTGTCATCAGCACAGCTTATGAAAAACTGGTTCTATGAGAAATAAACAAGACAATCATGTTAGTCTTTATTTTCTTAGCAATATACGTAAGAACAATACTGTAATATATTTTTTAAAATGTTTCACACAGCAGATGTGTTCTGATCACTGAAATCACATCAAGAAAGTCAACGACACAGAAAAAAAGCCGCCTCATCTCACTCAGGGTCTCATCTGATTCCAGGTCATATCACCTGTAACACTTAATCAAGTGGAAAGTTACACTATATTATTTCACCATGAGAATTCCTTATAGGTGATTTTCTAAATTACATTCTCAGAATACTTAGGAACACTGCAAATTTAATCAATGGGGAAACTAGTTTTTTTCAGATTCACATGTTGTATAAATGCTTATGATTAAAAATTCTATATTGGCAAACATTCTATCTCATGCTAAGCTTGCTTTTTTAACAGAGTAGATGGTAAAGCCTGGTCTAGTTTTCTCCACCCTTTCTCCATTATTTCCTGGTATCTGCTTTCACCTTGTCTTGTTTGTCTGGGTCTCTTATTATCTCTGAACTTCTATTTTAAGTAGCCTCAACTCTCTTTTGTATGTTGCATATATATAAGCCAGTTAATAAAATAAAAAATGTTTTTTTCCTCTAAGTACTTCTGCTATTTATATATCTACAAAATAGTCTTTAAAACTGTTACTAGAAAACAAGTTACAACATTATCATAACAATGCAAAATATTTTGTTGCTGCATAAAGGAATGTGAAAAATTTGGTGCAAATATTACTAATGTTATGTGTTCAAATAGAATAGATTGTTATAACACATCTGTAATTTATAAGGACAATTATCACAAAGTAATATTTGCTAATCATCTCAAGGTAAAGAGATATATATGTAACAACTCGTAATTATCATCCCTTTGTGGCATTATCATTTTTATGACTATATAAGCTTTTATACTTAAGTGCATAAATCTGTAAAATGCCTCCAGAAGACAAACTTACAGGAAGACACGGTGCAGAAAGTCTTTTGAGAATGTGATTCCCCTTAGGGCATCAGACAATCAAAATCTCATTGGCAACCAAACCATGTTTCTTTTTCTGAATTCATATTATAAAGAAGCTTAGCATGCCTCAGCAGCTGTAAACACAGACTGGCTACATGTCATGTCCTTTACTTCTCCTTTTTTGGAAGAGTCGGATGAATGCTGACTGCTTATCTTGACTAGAGGAGTGTCAACCAGGTCTATGTCCCAACTATGTATACCTACATGGCGTTACTGACATCATTTAATACTACTGTCACATTAAAAAGAAAAGCTGATTATTTTATTTTTTATTTTTTTTATTTTTTTGAGATGGAGTCTCACTTTTGTCACCAAGGCTTGAGTGCAATGGCATGATCTCGGCTCACTGCAACCTTCGCCTCCCAGGTTCAAGTGATTCTCCTGCCTCAGCCTCCCAAGTAGTTGGGATTACAGGTGCCCGCCACCATGCCCGGCTAATTTTTTTGTATTTTTAGTAGAGACGGGGTTTCACCATGTTGGCCAGGCTGGTCTCGAGCTGCTGACCTCAGGTGATCCACCCGCCTTGGCCCCCTCAAAGTGCTGGGATTACAGGCATGAGCCACCGTGCCCGGCCAGAAAAGCTGATGTTAATGCTACTAAAAAGAGATGAAGCAAAATGATTCTGGGCAATAGATGAGCCAGCCTTCACATCTTTCCATCTCTATGGTATAATTGTTTAAATTAATAATACTAATAGCATTACTAAGCTCCAGACTTTATGCAGAGTTCGCTCATTTTCCACTAATGTCCTATATCTATTCCATGATGCCATTCAGGATACCACACTGCATTTAGCCAGCTAATATATTATATTTAACTTAGGTTTCTCTAGCCAGGCTCATGAAACAAATAAAGCTCCAATTCTTCCCTGCTTGTCTCTAATGAATTGTTGCTGTGCAGAGCGGGAGAGGGCCAGGACCCAAGGGGAAGAAAAACAGGGCTAGAATGGTTTTCCTCAGTTAACCCATTCCCCTATCTACCTTTAAAAAATTCAATGGGAAAGAAAAGACTCAAATAAGGAAGGAAATTATGCTATGATTTATTTTTTCCATTATTGTGACTTTTTATTTTCTCAGGGTTTTTCAAGTTCTCTGAACTATTTTTATATTCACTTTGAAGAGTAATTTAAGTTCCCAAACTAAACTCAGTGTCCCCAGATTTTCTCATATGCTCTAAAAATTCTGGGATGAAAAAAAGCTTCCTAATCAATAGTAGTTCACACAGGATTGAAGAAGGTGGTACCTGCTCTTAATGTTCTCACATCTTCCTTTTCCACGTTCTTTTCCCTGCACTCTCCCTACTCCGCCATGCCCAAACCAGTGGCATCCAGTGGTCTCTATTTTAGCAACTCACCCCTGTGTGTGCTCTCCTGAAATAGAACTTGCTTCACACTTAAACCCTCCAACCCAAGCGAAAACAAAACTTACCTATCCATGTTGGGGTATTTCTGTCTAATACTATTACAATGAGTTGATGATGCATTTTAACAGCAAAGATTTGTGAGACTCCCAATAGAATCTTGAGTTAATGACAATGCAGAGCCAGTTCCAGGTATGCTTGGGAGGTCAAAATTCAGGTGATATGAACCAGAGCTTCTCCAGCACTTTTCACGCCTCAAAATATACTTATTAATATGAGGGGTCCTAAGTTTGGGGACCCTGAAATCTCTGCATGATATTTAAGGGAAGGCAGTTTCTCACACGAATTTACATGAGCAAGACTTACTTCGATATAGATATAGTGCCTGCTGTTCTCTATCACATGGACGTAAGCGGCGTGGATGGACTCTTCATGGTACTTTATACCAGCAGACCAATCAGCAGCAGAGCGGAGCAACTACAAGGCAGCAATCAGAAATGAACAAGTATTAGCAATGGAGAGGACATCAGATATATTAATACAATGAAGTCACTCCTTTTTCTTCCAGACGACTGAATGATTACAGTGGCTTGAGTGTCATGTGTGAACCAAAGGAGAGTAGTGGGGTGGGGAATGCTGCTAAGGAAGAGGGGAGAAAGGGGGCAACTGGTCCTTGGATGTAGTCCATAAGGAAGGTCCTCAGCTGGAAATCACATCCTGAATATACCCTCTTTCATCCAGGATTATTTTCATTCAAAACTGGAAACCACAAATTGTGGTTTCTACAAAGACTATTTCAGAAGTACCTCTTCTGATGGCTGTGAGTATGGTAACCATTTGTATTCCTTTCCTATGACAGTCCCTCAATTATACCAGAATCCCTGTTGTTCTGGTGCATTTATTCAGAGCACCCATCTTTACTCTTAAAAGGGTACTGGTTTGGACCATATGGTATGGCCATCCTAGCTCTGACTTAACAATGTGATTATTCCTTTTCCCCTAAATAGATATTGTTCAGATTAATACATTCTAAAAGGTAGGTCATTTGGCATGTGATCTTCATTCTACCTTTAATAGCTGTCTGTTCCATGGCACGCCACTTTAGTCTAAACTTTCTAATGGCATAATAAAGGAAATTAATCACAGGAAAGAGAACTGGGGCTCAGAGAAGCAAAGAAACTTGCATGGTGTCACAGAGGTACTAGCATCAGCATCACAGCTTGAACTTGCTTTTTGTCATTCCATATCCGAAGTTTTTCTACTATGCCACACTGTTTTGCCACTTCATCACATGTGTGTGGCATGCCAGTCAATTTGGGATTGATCCCATCACCTCAGATTAAACCCATCGAAGTGGAGCTCCTGACTTTTTTCTCTAAACCATTTCCCATTTCAAATACCCCACTGGCCAGGGGCATACCATCATTCTATTAGTCTTTGGCATGCCTCTTCTCCTTAGCGTCTATATTCAATCTCACATCTACTTCAGTTTATTCTTTGGAGGATTTCTCAGATTTGCCTCTTTCTCATCGCTCACATTGCCTCGCTCTACGCAGACACTCACCTGTCCAGGCTGTATTACTCGAGCTTCTTCTCGCTCAGACACCTGAATATAGGTTATATACACTGATGCAGAGCAGGACTGTCTAGGTTCAAAGTCTGGCTCAACTATTTACTGGCTGTTGATCGTGTTTCTTAACCTCTTTGTGCCTCAGATTTTTGTTCTATAAAATGGAGTTCTACTTTATAGGGTCATAGAGAGGATTAAGTGAATTACCGTGAAATGTGTAGCAGGAGGCCTGGTATCTATTAAGTGGTTATAAGTGTTATATTAATGAGCATTAGAAGATGTGTTTGAGCTGTGGCAGGTCATGTCAGGGATGCTGCAGAGCAGACTGTGGCTGTGCACAGAAGAAAGGATGAGAGAACATGGAAAGAAGGTGTTCTCAACACTCAGCAACCATTGGTCATCACTTTTTTCCAACATTCTAACTAGCATTGCAGTATGATGTTGGCATATAGTAGGTGCTTAAACAATAGCATGACACACAGAAGAATTAGTATAAAAATAATACTTGCTATTTCTGGTTTGAAATGAATATTAAAACTGTCCCTTATAAGGTCAACTGATATTGAAAATAAAAAGAATGCTCCCATACTCATTAGGAATATACAAAGCGATCCAATACATAATCAGTTCTATGTCTGCTGTATATAAAAGGCCTGGAAAAATTCTTGTTCAAATCAATAACTTTAAAATTGCAACTATACGGCCATTAAATCCAAAACTCACACTTACTAAAAATCGCTGACTGTGCCATCCTCAGTAGTGTTATTTCTTTATCCAATATGAGGTATTTATTACAAAATATCGCCAATCAAAGCATTAAAAAAATTATCAGATGAATATGTGCAACAAAATTTCAAAATTTAATTGTCAACATGAATATATTAAATATCATAGAAGAGAACTCATAAGGAAAATTTAGATAAATATTATCCACACTGGAAAAATATCATGATTTTACATCATCTCCAAGGAGCTGCATTATTATTCATCAGGTAGAAAAAACAAAGGTTGAAGAAATAGAAGTTTTAATTCTTAGTCCACTCAAATTAATGTTTAATTTTGTTACTAAGGAACATAGCACTGAAAATGCAGGCTACTTTGAGAAGATTCTCATGCTATCCTGATGTAATTCTATACAACTCTGGAGGCAACGTATACAATTGCAGATTACACTGGAAAGAAGGGAACCTCCAGGATTTTTTTTTTTTTTTTGAGACGGAGTCTTGTTCTGTTGCCCAGGCTGGAGTGCAGTGGCATGATCTCAGCTCACTGAAACCTCTGTCTCCTGGGATCAAGTGATTCTCCTGCCTCAGCGTCCCAAGTAGCTGGGATTACAGGTGTGTGCCACCATGCCCAGCTATTTTTTTTTATTTTTAGTAGAGACGGGGTTTTGCCATGTTGGCCAGGCTGGTCTTGAACTCCTGACCTCAAGTGATCCACCTGTCTCAGCCTCCCAAAGTGCTGGGATTACAGGCGTGAGCCACCACGCCCGGCCGGAATCTCCATGATGTTTAAATGACTTGTCCAAGGTGTAAGAGAATTTACATATAATTTAAATATCATGGAGGTTCAGTTTCCTCCACTGTACAACTGAGACCTCTCCCCATCCCCTAAAGCTGCTGTGAAGAAAAAAATGGCATAACAAACACAAAGTGATAATAATGGTATGTGGCACTTAGTACTAGATATTCTATATACAGTATGTCCACCTCTGTAAAAAGTTATAGGCAAAGTTTATAACCCACCCTTGCTGGTAACATCTGAGTTTTTCCCTCGAATCCAAAAACCTTATACTTTCTTTCCTTTCTCACTCTCAAAATTTGCTCTGACTCAATGAACTCATTCACATAAGATTCAATAAATTCATTCACATAAGATACACATGAGGAGAATTACATCAATGTCAGCTTGCATATGAAGTCTAATAGATTCAGAGTGGCTTCCTGGACAGCTGGGTTAAGAGGCGATTCTTGAAAGCAGGTGCACTGGGGAAGAATTCTGAGATTGATCCTCAATGGCTTTCATGGAAGGGGACGCCTGAAGGTCACATATTTGCCATTTTTTCTGTGAAGGATAATGGTAAATGTTTCTCTATCTGTAGGCATTTAAGTATTTAAAATATTAAAGCTTCAAGCCAAAAGAAGACCATTTTATGGCCAGGGGCGGTGGCTCACACCTGTAATCCCAGCACTTTCGGAGGCCGAGGTGGGCAGATCAACTGAGGTCAGCAGTTCAAGACCAGCCTGGCCAACATGGCGAAACCCCGTCTCTATTAAAAATACAAAAATTAGCCGGGCTTGGTGGTGCATGCCTGTAATCCCAGCTACTCGGGAGGCTGAGGATGGCGAATCGCTTGAACCCAGGAGGCGGAGGTTGCAGTGAGCCGAAATCATAGCATTGCACTCCAGCCTGGGCACCAATAGTGAAACTGCGTCTCAAAAGAAAAAAAAAAAAGACCATTTTATATATCAGCCTGTGGGAGAGCATAATAAGAAAAAGCGGAGGGGGCTCCCTGATACCTGCAAAACCATCAAGTATGAGGGGTTTCCTACCTCCTGAGGGGCTTCAGCATCATCTATCCCATTGCCTGAGTCCAAGCCCCGTATCCTTTACTTACAATAAAAACTCATTAATTAAAAAATGTCATCATTTGTGGCTAAACTTGAAACATATCTTTCAAGCAACACATGAAGAAAATCACTTGGGATTGTTATTCATTTACTACTATTCTAATTAGTTAAAATCTCCCTATCACCACAAGAAAAATGGAAAATACGAATTTCCTTCTTGCTCTGCCTAGACCATTGAACTACAGGCAGGGAACCCTGAGGTTATATAAAAATCAACTTAACTGCTTTAAATGCTTGATGGCCTAGGAAGTTTTATCAACAGTCAAATAAGTCAAACCCATTGTATTCGTCTGTTCTCATGCTGCTAATAAAGACCTACCAGAGACTGGATAATTTATAAAGGAAAGAGTTTTAATGGACTCACAGTTCCACATGGCTGGGGAGGCCTCACAATCATGGCAGAACACAAAGGAAGAGAAAAGGGACATCTTACATGGCAGCAGGGAAGAGGGCATGTGCGGGGGAACTGCCCTTTATAAAACCATCAGATCTCATGAGACTTATTCACTATCACAAGAACAGCACGGGAAAGACCTACTCTCATGATTCAGTTACCTCCCACTGGGTCCCTCCCATGACATGTGGGGGATTATTACAACTCAAGGTGAGATTTGTGTGGAAACACAGAGCCAAACCATTATCACCCATTTTGATTGATTTCCTTTTGTTTTATTTTTTCACCTTTTTCCATTGCCACTGAGATTTCCTTTTGTTTTAATATTTACTCTCTTCATTTTCTTCACTGACTTCACCAACTTGTCTTGCATTTCTGTTTTAAACCAATGTAACTGAGATAACCCTCAAACTGTTCCCTCACATGCAAAAATATAGCTTATCTTACCGTCCCAAATGTGCTGGGAATCAAATCTAATCTATACTTTTCAAACCACGAGTTTGAATACATAATTTTAAAATATATAAAAAATGGCATATTTCTGATTTTATGGTTTAACCTCAAAGCTGTAACTTGGACTAGTCATTTTCTTCGTGCTACGTCTTATTTTTTAACCTAAAATATAGCCTTCTCTTTAACCACAATCCCTAATCACCTTCCATCCTATGGGCCCAAGTCAAATGTATGGATTAAATAACAGAAATTTCTTTCTGAAGGAAAACCTTTGGATCTTTCTTAGTATTTGTCCCAAATTCCCTTCCTTTCTCTCATCATAATGCTTTTATTCCCTATAAATTCAGCACATATATGAATTCCTTTTTATTTCCCTGAGATTCCAAGTCAATCATGGAACAAAGACTATTTAGGACAAAAGCACTTTTTATATGTTTCACAAGCAGAGGCCAACTGTGTAGAAGCTCACAAGTGGTATGCATTGGGGAGAGAAGGGAAGCCTCTGATTGTCGGGCCTTTTTCTTCCAGACTGTACTGAGAACAGCAGGCAAGGAGCATCAAGAAATTGACCTAGTTCAAGAACCTGTCTCATCTTATCAAGCTCTTTCTTTTCATAGCCACTTTTCTAGTTGAGTGTCAGCCATTCATATCACAGTGTGCAGTTATTCACATAGGATGATTCCTTTCCTGAACAAAAGAGAAAAGTTAATTTTGAGGCTGAAGGACAGAAAGAAAAGATAATTATTGAAGAATAGGACTTAAGGTGAAAGAAGTCCTAGGAAACACAGTATTAGTTGGGTGTTCTTGGGAGCCAGAAAGAAGCAAAAGGAGAGTTAGGGATGGATTTGGGGCTGTGGCAACAGAAGGTGATACCCAAAGGCAAACAGGACATGAAACTTTGCTCTGCTAGAGCCCCAGCAGTTACAACCATCCTGGTCTTACTGGAAACAGTATCCATAGCTAATTAACCTCAGGCACTGAAGCCAAACTGCTTAGAAGCAAGTCATCCCCACCACTTACTGTTTGTGGTTTTGAGATGGAGTCTCTGATGCCCAGGATGGAGTACAATGGCGTGATCTCTGCTCACTGTAACTTCTGCCTCCCGGGTTCAAGCAATTCTCCTGCCTCAGCCTCCTGAGTAGCTGGGACTACAGGCCCATGCCACCATGCTGAACTAATTTTTATATTTTTAGTGGAGACAGGGTTTCAATACATTGGCCACGCTGGTTTCGAACTCCTGACGTCAGGTGATCTGCCCACCTTGGCCTCCCAAAGTGCTAGGATTACAGGCATGAGCCACCGCACTAGACCCCCACTAGTTACCGTTATTTTAACCTCTCAAAGTCTCAGTTTCCTCATCTGTAGAAACAGGCTGCACAGGAGTTTAGCTTACAGACTGCTGAATGTATATGAGATAATGCACAAAGGGTTAGCACAGTGCCAAGCACACAGCAAATGCCCTGTTCATATCAGCTCTTCTAGCCAAGACCCACAGTAACACTCACAAACGTGTTAGTCCATGAAGGCCTGGCCCATACATGGAAAACAACTCCCATGGTAAATAACTTCCATGGAAATGGACAAGGTGGATTCCTTTTACCCCCACCTGCTCACTTTATTTTTCACCTATCTACTTTATTCTCTCACACCATTCTGGGATACAAAACATTTTGCTGTCCTTTCAGATCTAACAGATCCTTGGGAATATCCTTTGGACATTTATTCCAAGCGTGAAAACAATTTTTTTTCAGTGGTATAATTTGGATGTTATTTATACTTTCTTGAAAATTTTCTTTTTTTTTCCTTCCTCTCTCCCTCTCTCCTTTTTCCCTTTCCTCCTTTCTCATTCTTTCTTCCTTCCTTTCTTTGTTCCTCCCTCCCTTCCTTCTTTCCTTCTTTTCCCATAAGTAGGACTGAAGACATTATTCCAGTAGAGTTATTTCCATATAGGCAGGAATTCTCAGCATGACTGTCCAAGGAATGGTTTCTACTATGAGCTTTAAAAAGGATTGTTCCCATGTGTTGACCCCATGTTGATGCTGACACGGCATTCAGCATTTTCTTTCAGCTTAATAGACATGTCAAATATCCTCTGTCTTTATAATATATCTTAAATGCCATTAAGACCATTCTGGAACTGAGTTTATTCTAGTTCCTTCACCTTCTCTGTGTAGAAGCAGTTTCAGGACCATCTCTCCCACTTCCTCCTGCTACCCATGCCTTTTCCTGCCATGTCTTCTCTGAGTGCTCTTGGCAGGCTTCTGAGAAGGCCCAGCACTGAGGGGAAACATCCAAGATTCTTTTAAAAGTACAGTGGAAGCTGCTGAAGTCAGCTGTCAGGTCTAGATAACTTTTTCAGGAGCAGCAATTCGTGCTGGTGGGCAGGCATCCATACTGCCTGCCGTAGCTCCCCTCTCCCTGGCTGGCTGTGTCTCCCCCTCTGGAATTGCCAGTGGCGTGTGACCAATGTTTCTGTATTAAAAAAATTAATAACTAGGTGCCCTTCTCCAGAAGAAAGAATAACTTGAATTTTATCTATTATTTACTTTATTATGTCAAATACTCTTTCTCCCCATTCCAATAGATTTATGGCATAAAAATTTCTATCTAGAACAAGCTTGGTGACCTACCCAGAGAAATGTTAACTTCTTTGTTGCAAACTTTTTTTGTTTTTGTTTTTTAGACGAGTTTTGCTCTGTTGCCTAGGCTGGAGTGCAGTGGTGTAATCTCGGCTCACTGCAACCTCTGCCTCCTGGGTTCAAGCGATTCTCCTGCCTCAGCCTCTCAAGTAGCTGTGATTACAGGCATGCGCCATAACGCCCAGCTAATTTTTGTATTTTTAGTAGGACGGGGTTTTGCCATATTGGCCAGGCTGGTCTCGAACTCCTGACCTCAAGTAATCCACCTGCCTTGGCCTCCGTAAGTGCTGGGATTACAGGCCTGAGCCACTGCGCCCAGCCTGTTGCAAACTTTTGAAACACTAGCGAAAGCTTGAAGGCTGTTTTTGATGGAACTCAAACTGGTATACTCTTCTAAATGCTTTGCATGGATTAATTTAACCATCACCACAATCCTGTGAGACAGATACTGTCATTTATGTTTTTTAAATGAATGAAACATACTGCAGAGTGAAGTAATTTTCCCGAGGTTACACAGCTCATATGTCACAGAGCTGAGATGTTAACACAGTCTGGCTCTAGAATCTATCCCTTAATTGCTACCTTATATTTTTCTTCACAATTAAATAAGCTTGTGGCTTCTAAGTTACATTATGAACAGTCAACTATGTTAAAATCTTGTTCTCACTCATATGTGGAAGCTTAAAAAGTCAATCTCATGCAAGTAGATAGTAGAATGATAGAAACTAGAAGCTGGGAAGGGTTTGTGTAGGCGGGTACAGGGAATAGGGTGGAGATAAAGAGAGGATGGTTAATGGGTACAAACATAGAAGGAATAAGTTCTAGTATTCAATAGCAGAGCAGGTTGACTATAGTTAACAACAGTGTATTGGTATTTCAAAAGAGCTGGACGAGAGGACATGAAATGTTCCAAACACATAGAAATAACAGAAGACTTGAGATCATGACACTCCAAATACCCTGAGGCCTCTTTAATAAAATCAATGCAAATTTACAAATATAAAGCTGAGAACAGGTCTAGAAAAGGCCTGGGTGGCTGAGGGTCCTAAAGCTAAGCAAGGGCCTGAAGCTGCAAGGAACATGAGTTCCTGAAGGGAGCAATTCATTCCCTACTTACAGCCTTAACTCCAGCCAGTCTGTAGGAGATTTTACTTTAGGCACTGAGATGGCAAAAAGCTAATTATAGAAATAGCAGGTTTTCAGGACCAGAGGAATAAAATAAATTATAATCTTATAATCTTGGAATTTAAGAGTTCATCAGTGATGTCCTAGTTTCTTAACTCTTATCCTTCCTTTTAATTTTTGTCCTATTTATCACTGCCATGTGGCTAAATGTACCTATGATGTTTTAATTTACTTAGATATTTTCCTTTTCTCTCAAAGATCCATAGAAACAAGTTTAATGATCAAGGTAAAAATTCTGAGCAATGGCTTCTATTTCTATTTAGTGATAAGTGTCATTCTAACTACTTTAAAAATTAAGAAGTGTATCTGTGGTGGCCATTTGAGTTTTATTTTGTGAGGGATCATAACTATAGCAGGAGGATTAAATAGAAAGTCATTAACACCTGTACTTTGAATGATACCTCTTGTATGAAAGACAATGAATGAAAATTTTCCCTTTAAATGTCTGAAGGGACTCAGATCAGATTCATACCAAACATAAGTCTTTCAGATGACAAAACTGGGCTCAGGGAGGGGTAATGGCATGCTGAGGCCACATGCTGCTATACAATCTTCATACCACACCACCTTGTGTGCTTTTATGATTTGTTAGCGTGAAAATGCATGTTATTATATTTAGCTGGATATTTCCAGCAGCACTGCCTAGCGACACTTTTATATACCCATTTTATATATCCATTATCATGCTGCAAAATTTATATTACCAAGAACTAGATGTACTACAGGAGCTACCTGAGTCCTTTGGTGATCTCAATTAGTGCCCTGGCCCATCAGTCATGACACAGTTCCTATGGTTCTTTGGAGACTTTGTGACACTAAACTATCTTTAACTTTTTCCTCTGTCCCAAATTTTCAGTTAGTTCCTAGTCGTGATGTCCCTTTGTCTCTTTCCTCAAAAATACCTCCTATTTGTTCCTTCTCTTCATTTCTAGTTTAGGACTTAATTATATGTCAGAATTACTGTAATAGCCTCTTCACTTGTCCCCTTGCTCTCATTATCTCTCTAGTCTAATAAGTTCTTCATGTGTATAAACATTTGGTCTCAAGGTATTTGTTTGGAAAGATGGAAACAGATAAGAATGCATAAAACAAGAGATTCTCTGTCAAATAAGCTTGGGAAATGCGCACATCATATTCCTTCTTGGTGGTTTTATAATACACTGTAGCATAAAAAAGGTGCTAAGGAGTCCTGTATTAAAGAATTCTGCAAAACCTTATCTGTCCATGGAAATCTTTGTGGAATAGTTATCAGCATCTCACAGGTAAATTCAGTTTGGAAAACTCTCTCCTCCATTAATCTTCATTGAACATTCCTGCATCATGCTTCTTGCCCAATCGAAAAAAAAAAACATCCAAAGTTCACTAGCACTTCTAGGACCAGGTCCAAATTCACTAGGACAGCACTCCAGGTGTAGCCCCCACCCCGCCCCCGCCCTGGCCTTATGCTGTCTAACTTCATCAGTGCCTCTCTAAGAGCGAATGGGTTACTGCAGTCAGTCCTTTTGTCTTCTGAGCAAGCAGGACTATTCCTTAGAGTGGACACCCAGTTCTGTCCCTCTGGATTTCCAAACTCTTACAGCATGCTGGTCCTTACTGTCACACCAGCATTTACTCAGAGACCATACCTTGCACTGTAACTGAATTATTCATCTCAGCTATCTCTCCCCAGCTAACTAAGTTTCCAGAGGCAAAGAACTCCTTTGCTGTCTGCCCTCTCGACACCCAAGTGTGCTTTGATGACTTCACCATGCAAACGGACAACACTTAGTAAACATATGTTGGCTGAATAAATGAATGAATGAGTGAGTAAGTCTTGTTAAATATCCTTGGCTTTGTAGATTCTTGAGTCCAGGCCACCTGAACATGTGAGGGATTAACATATGAGCTTATCAGATCTAGTCTCATTTCTTTTCTTTTAGTTTTTATTTTTATTTTTTTTTTTTGAGTCAGTCTCGCTCTGTTGCCCAGGCTGGAATGCAGGGGTGCAATTATGGCTCACTGCAGTCTCCACCTCCTGGGCTCAAGCAATCCTCCTGCTTCAGCCTCCTAAGTGGCTGGGACCGCAAGCATGTGCCACCATGCCTGGCTAATTTTTTAAGAACTTTTTGTAGAGATGGGGTCTCACTATGTTGCCCAGGCTGGTCTTGGACTCCTAGGCTCTCCTCCTGCCTTGGCCTCCCAAAGTGCTGGGATTCCAAGCGTGAGCCACCACACCCACTCTAGTGTCATTTCTCACACAACATCAGTGATGCGGAAAAAGCGAACGAAGAGAAGCATTTTATAGAGTCTCTATTGACCTCACCAGGCAGCAGGATGAGACTATGTGAGTCAGGGCTTTACCAACAGTGAAGTGGAAAATATATGCATATGCAACGCTATGCTAAAACTTCCTTCATTGATTACAAAAATACTTAATTCCCAGCAATCCATTTTCAACAGATACTTATTAACATCAGCTAACTTTGAAAAATTGACCACCACGTCAATAATAATGCAAGTTCAAATCTTAAATTCTTATTTTCCTAATAACAAGTTTCTTATTTTATATTCTAGCATTGGTAATTTTTTCTCCTCTACGTAGAATAAAATTAAACAGGTTCATAAAATATTCATCAACTTACATATAAATCATAGCTATCTCTATGCCTCTGAGTTTAAATTAGTTTTCTTTTTAGCCTGGGATGACTAATATTTGCTGCCGATATTTCTCTCAAGCAGCTTATCTTTTTTTTTTTGAGATGGACTCTTACTCTGTCACCCAGGCTGGACTGCAGTGGTGTAGTCTCGGCTCACTGCAAACTCTGCCTCCTGGGTTTAAGCGATTCTCCTGCCTCAGCCTCCCGAGTAGCTAGGATTACAGGCGCACGCTACCACGCCCAGCTAATTTCTTATTTTTAGTAGAGACAGGGTTGGCCAGGCTGGTCTCGAACTCCTGACCTCAGGTGATCCACCCGCCTCGGCCTCCCAAAGTGCTAGGACTACAGGTGGGAGCCACCACACCTGGCCTTTTTTAAAAAAAGTTCTATTATTTGATCTACAGTCTGAAATGTCTTATTTCTTATATACACATACCTCCAATTGCACACGATGCAAAATAACTGATTTAGGCACTTCATTTATATAATCACATTCCCTAGGATCCATGTCTGCATTATATAAGTCCCTACTGATGGTCCCTACTGATGATATGTAGCAGTAGCAGACTGCTGGACTTTACTTAAACAATTCTTCTGATGCCCATATTGATGACTTCAAACAAAAGGCAATGCCAAAGGTGGCCCATCCTACTTCTGTCCCCACATGATCTCAAGATATTTGAGCTGTAGTTGGTAAAGGAAGCAGATTGGGTAACACTGGACCAGACTAGGATTTCAAGCTCCACCTCTGTTGATAACTAGCTGGCCGGCCCTAGATAGGCCTCAGAGCCCCACTAGGTCTGAATTTTCTTATTTGTAGTTTGAGATGGTTAAACTGGATGTGGTAAACTGTTGTGACTCTATTAAGCAAATTCCTTATTCCATTAAAAGGGCCTCTAGAAGACATTTGGTTAATCAGGAACTAAAATTAGACTGAACTACAACTAGCTTCCTAGCTGCTAAGTTTCAGCCACATTCCTGGTGCTTAGGCAGTATCAGGTCCAGGTTTACTGGGTATCATGTTGCTAGGGTCACTTCAGAAGGAATTACAGGAATAGCCTTGGCTGTGGCCTTTTCTAAGGACATGCATTTATTATATTTATAAGAGTTTTAAAAAGAGACTGAATTGAATCCATTTAACATAGGAAATATAATAACAAGTATTAAAAGATCCATTTAGTTTTGCTTTAGAAAAGCAGTCATTGAAAAATCTGAAGCCAATGTAATAGGCCCTTGGTCCAATAACAGTAATTTTACTCAGTAGCATTTTGTCAAAAAGAAAAGCCAGAACTTACTTACCTGTACGTTAGCATGGACAGACCCAGGCACTTGATATCTCAACTCATGGGCTGTTGTTTGAGACTTTGGAAGCAGAAAAGGATAAGAAAGGGACCGATATTTTGATTTCATAATCTAAAATAAAGAAAAAGGATAAAATATTCAAATGAGAAAAAAGATTCATTCTCCCTACTTTGTGATTATAAAAGAAATTCATGCCCAGGTGCAGTGGCTCACGCCTGTAATCCCAGCACTTTGGGAGGCCAAGAAGCGGGGATCACTTGAGGTCAGGAGTTCGAGATCAGCCTGGCCAACACGGTGAAACCCCCATCTCTACTAAAAATACAAAAATTAGCCAAGCATGGTGGCGGGCGCCTGTAATCCCAGCTACTCGGGAGGCTGAGGCAGGAGAATCACTTGAACCTCGGAGGCAGAGGTTGCAGTGAGTCGAGATTTCATCATTGCACTACAGCCTGGGTGACAAGAGTGAATCTCCATCTCAAAAAAAAAAAAAAAAAAAAGAAAAAGAAAAGAAAAGAAATTCAGGTTAATTTGAAAAAGAAAAAGAAAAATGTTAATGGTGGACATTTCTAAGTGAAGGGCTACAGATTATTTGTGTTTGTTTTCTACTTCTCACAGTCCTGTTTTTACCTTTTGTAGGGGAAATATTGTTTTATATTTGTAAAGACAGGTTAAATATAATCTGTAGTTACAGAACTTTATAATTGCAAAAATGAGACTATTGTTTTATAAACTAATTTTTTACTGATTATGTTCTAGATATCTTGTCACAGCAATATAGTGGGATATCATTATTTTTAATAACTTCATAGTAAAATGGTATAAAAGAATCATTTGTTTAATAAATTCCTATTAGTAAGGATTTCTGTTATTTCTAATTTTATTTGAATTATTAGAAGCCATATCAAAATAAATTACCTTATTGGATTATGGCTTTAGTTTGAATACCCGGAAATAGTTTTTCTGGATCAAAGATTGCATACTTTAAAAAAGACTTATTGGTGTTGTACAAATTTATCCTCCCTGGGGTAGCATGTATGAGCACACCACAAAAACCACCCCAAACCTAACTACAGGTATCAGCAGAGACTTTTATCTTTGCCAGTATAGCAGGTTAAAAGTAACACCCCATTTGTTTATTCATCCATCTCCCCTAAATTTTTGTTAAAAAATTTCAATTAGAATGTCCACTAAATTTTTATAATCATTATGTGAATGAAAAACAAAGTTAGACTCTAAGTGGTTGATAAAACTAAATTCTTTTTCCAAACGACCAAGGGGAATCATGACTCATTATCCCTTCAAGTAAATAAAGTGAAACTTTAATAACACCTGAATATGTACTTTTTTTTTTTTTTTTTGAGACAGAGTCTCGCTCTGTTGCCTAGGCTGGAGTACAATGGAGTCCTCTCAGCTCACTGCAAACTCCGCCTCCTGGATTCAAGTGATTTTCCTGCCTCAGCCTCCAGAGCAGTTGAGATTACAGGCACCCACCACCATGCCCAGCTAATTTTTGTATTTTAGTAGAGACAGGTTTTCACCATGTTGGTCAGGCTGGTCTCGAACTCCTGACCTCAGGTGATCCACCAGCCTAGGCCTCCCAAAGTGCCAGGATTACAGTCGTGGGCCACCGTGCCTGGCCTGAATGATACGTACTTAACTTATGAATGTTAGGTTTGAATGTTATGTCAAGTTCTTACAAGTAATGAGGACACAATCTGGATAAAAGGAAAATGGCCCCACCTTCTTAATACTTCTTGGTTTGCTCAGAACCAGCTCTCAGAATCCTGTACCAATATAAACCCAGTGCAATTCCAGTCCCATCCAACTGGATGGGACTTTAAAGCTCAAGCCCTCTCATCTAAACCAGGCTCCTATCCCCCTATAACAGCCCTGCAAATGACTACCGAGCCCAGGCTACTAAATGCTTAGTCAACACTGTGTCCAAGATGTTAACAAGGTTAAAATCAGGACCCACACAGCAGCACCTGTCCCTAGGCACTCTGAATTGTCTATGGTGTGGACATTCGGGAATGTTTCCCTTTTTTTTTGCCCAGATGCCCAGGCACCCGGACATCAATGCAGCCAACAGCAGAGCAGTGACACAGTTGTGGCCACAACAGTCTCTTCTTGCTACCAGCCTCCTCTAAACCTCTTCTCTAGTTAGGCCTGCCTCTCTTCATGTGGATAAATCATGATAGCAACATCCAAGTACTTTTGTGAAGTTCCAGCGCTGGATGAAGTGACGTGCCACATCACGAGCCGCCTTCCCGTGGACTGCAGAGGCAATGTCATGCCAGGGCATCCGGGGCGTGGAGTACCTGTCAATGAAATCTGCCCGGGTGCACCAGGCAAGGATCAGTCATTAACTTCAGTGTTGGGGCAAAGTCTCTCTGACTCCAACTATGAAACTAAAAGGAAACGTGGGTTAGTGCCCACTAGGTATATATTTCTTGGCTTGCATAGAACAACATTTTTATAATCAAGGGAAACAGATTTCACATTCAGGGACATAGTCTCCCAGGCACTTCCCCACATATGTTTCCGTTTCACTTAGGATTAGATAATCACTAGACATGGCAAGATGTGAGTTGGTACAAATTATCTAAGGCTGTGTATTTGATATTATATTTTTTATTTTTTATCCTGTTGAAACAATGGCAGGCAATGCCATCTCTATCTCCTCTTAAACATATAAACCCAGTGATAACCTGAAAATATGCCATTCTAACGCTGGAAATGCAGGAAATAAGCAGAATAGAAGATGATCAAAGGGAGCCTACCATTTCCTGAAAAATTACTGATTATTGCCCCCAAAATATGCCTATAAAAATCTGGATTTTTCAGACAGTTCAGCTCTATTTCATGTTCTTTTCTTATTATAACTGAAAAAAAAGTCCTTAAGCACATGCTAATGACTAAATCTAGTCTCCAAAGTTTTAAAAAATTTTCAAAAATCAACGGAAGCAAAACAAAAGGCATTTAGATCATGCACATGTATACTTGCTGAGATGTTCAAAGGTAAAAGACAAAATATAACCAGCACCCCACCATTATGATACTCACCAGCAAAAGGTTTATCAAGTTGAACCCAGTCTTTGAAGACGAAATTGCAGTAGTCCTTTCCATGCCAGAATCTGGTTTCCCCATGCAGCTCTCCCACACCTGTCTGTAAACTACGGATGGACCCGGTATCTGTGAATGCAGCAAGACCCCCTCAGAGACTGTGGTTCAGGTGAGTCCCAGAAAGGGAGGCTCAACTCTCATTTATTAAACACCTAAAAGCTTCTTAATTTCTTAAGACACAACTAGGGTGGCATCTGTCCATTCTATTACAGGCTGTGGGCTAACAAGGTTTTACAGTCCTTACAAGTTTACTTTTAGTGGGCAGTTAGGGCTACAACAAGATTCATCATTAAACAATGAAATTTGACCTTCTCAGGCAGTTGAGTAACTTATTTCCACCACCTACCAGATCACTGGAAGAACTATCACAGAATTAACTGTGAATAAAGAACTCACAAGGTGGCACTATGAGAGCAGTAAAGCTGGTGGGGGGCTTTCAGGGGCAGAGTGGGAAGGGCGGGGAGGGGAGAGGTGGAGAAACCTGAGACGCAGGGGCAATAAAGACACCATGCCACTTCTTTTTCCTCAACCAACATGGTGCACACCTGATGCATAATTCTTTTGCATTAAAGCAAGAACCTCAAATTTACAGATAGCCCATGTTCCAGCCCTGGAATTAATTAGCTAAGTGACACTGAGCTTCAGTTTTTTAGATCATAAATCCATTATGCGTAAAATGAAGAATTTGGCCTAGATAACAGCTAAAATCTGTTGCGCTTTAACATTTATATACTTCAAATCATAGATGGCATTTATAAAAAATATGGTAACAACAGATGAAAGCTTATGATATAGGTGCAAAAGCAGCAATCTACTATAGCATTTCACAAATAACTGTGCCGAGACCATTGACTTACGGCTAAATACAAAGACAATGAAGTAAAAAGATGCAGAATTACAAATCACAAACGCAGCACTTGGCACAAAAGAGGCATTTAACAAATAGACACTGAATGCAAAAATATGTGTTGAATGAATAAATGGTACTGCTTGCAGTAGCCAGTGAGAGGACTACACTGGTCCTGCCACCAACACACTGTCCCAGAACTGTCTTTGTAAAATGCACTCTTTGCTTAAAACCCTGGAAGGTTCACATACTGCCTATAGGAAGCTCAAGTCCTAAGGGCTTAGTGTGCATAGAAGACTCTTCCCAAACTGGTGCCAATCTATCTTTCTAGTCCTTGTTTTTCCCCACCCAACCCCAGGCCCCATGCAAATCACGTGTTTCACTGTATTATAACAGGTGTGGACTGCCATGTCTCCATGCAGTTGGCACATTATTACTTCTACCTGAAATGCTCCTTTCTCCCTCTTGGCCTGATATCCTAATCATCCTTCAAGAGCCACATTAGCTATCACCTGCCATCTCCCCATAAGGAAGAGGCAGTCACTAGCACTGCTGTCATCCCACTAACAACTGCCCCAACACCTCTGACTCTGTGACGCAATTGTATCAGGATGCTCCCCTGCCCGCATCAATGCCTCACCAGTCTATAAACTCTTTGGGAGTGGGAACCAAATCTTCTCACTGCCAGTAGCTCCAAGCACCCAGGCAATCAATAAATATTTGCAGAACAAATGTTTTTATGTAATCACCACACACAATGCTAATATTCTATCTCAAACTGAATCATTAACCTTTCAAAGGCTATTAAAGTTTTCTACAGAAGAAAAATGATTTAAAATGCCATAGATTAGCAAAATGAAATCATGTTAAAAATAGACTTCTATTGACTTCTCCCAGTGATTTATTTTCCTGCTTTATGAGACTGAAAGGCCAAAGTACGGGTAGGTCTGTTTGCTCATCTATAGGCTCTTTATTGTTTACATAGCACTTTGTTAAAAGAAGAAAAGAGGGTGAGAAAAGAAACAAAAGGGATGAAAAATGAGATAAACAATATTTCAAATTTCAAATATAAAATACACATATACAATTTGCTTTCATCAACTGCAAAACTCTAAGCTAAGGCTTTACATAAACACATATACACTCATTTAAAAATTATCTTTCACCTAACAACCAGTTATGATAAGGAAAATAAAGGAAATTCTTAGTCTCAGGAAATTATCTTGGTACTAATTGAATTCAACCTGCTCATAATTCAAATTTGTTTTTGTTTTTAGCCATGGCCTAAAAACTATTCCACATAAATTAGGGTTCCTCCTCAGTACAAATGAACTATTAAGGCAATAGAGCCAAATACTAGTTCCTGTGAAAACAGTAGCTCAGAATTACATGAGTGTGGTCGAGAGGACTTATGGCATCAACAATGCTGATCCAAGGGGGTCTCGTTAGGCTGCTATCTGGCTCCCAAATGATTTCATAATTGCACCTGCCTTGTCTTTTGGCACAGATTTGTCAGGCCAATTTTCTGCATCCTCCTCTGTCAGTGGCTCAGATTCTGGCTACTAAAGTTTATGAGAAGGGGGACTTCTTGTTCCTTGCCTGGTGTCCTCTGGTCGTGCCACATCCTCCTCCTTCTATTCTCATCTCTCGGCTTCCAGGTCTCCATTTTTCTACCATTTCTCCAGCCTATCCTTGTTCTTCTTTCCTAGCTCCTCCTCACTAACAAGGTTTCCCCCTTTCTCCTGTCTTTTTGTTTTCTTTTTCTTCCTCTTTTTTTTTTTTTTTTTTTTTTTTTTGAGACTGGAGTGCAGTGGCACGATCTCGGCTCACTGCAACCTCTGCCTCCCAGGGCCAAGTGTTCAAGCAATTCTCCTGCCTCAGCCTCCCGAGTAGCTGGGATTACAGGCGCACACCACCATGCCCTGCTAATTTTTGTATTTGATAGTAGAGACAGGGTTTCACCATGTTGGCCAGGCTCATCTCGAACTCCTGACCTCGTGATCTGCCTGCCTCGGCCTCCCAAAGTGCTGGGATTACAGGCGTGAGCCACCACACCCGGCCTCTCCTGTCTTTTTCTATACAATTTCTAAAATGTGCACCTGCAAGGATGGCTTCTGTTTTGGACTCCAAATCTAAGGTCACTTCCAGTGCCTCACTTGACATTGTTTACCTAGTTCCCTCCAGAACTTTAAAATTATGTCTAACACTAAAATCATCATCATTCCATAAAATCAAGTCTTTCCTTGAGATTTCTGCTGTCTGTGTGTAGTAACTCAAGCTCAAACCTCGGAATCACCTTTGGCTCCTTTATTCTTCGCTGACTTCTCCACCCACCTCCCCACGGCTTCCCAGATCATGATGAAAATCTGCTGATTCTGCTTTTGGAAAAAGTTTCTCCCATTTACTTCGTTCTTGAACTCACTGACACAACCTTGTCAGACTCCCTGTGTCTCTACTATAAACGCTATAAAGCCTCACCCTTAATTGCTCCCTGCCCCTAGGGATTTTCCAACATTTAATGGAAGAGGTGCAATGTCTCAGTCTGATTTTCAAAGTCCTCCGTAAACTGCTACAGATATATCCCACCAGCTCAATCTGCACAAATCAGCCCTTAACCACAATTCCAAAACTCCAAAAGTTCTAACAATTCAAATGTTTTTTCATAGCTGATTTTCACAGCTCATTTCATAACTCACAGGTCAGCAAAATCTGACCTGAACTGACAAGAGGTTATTTATTATCTTTATTGATCCCACTTGGTGTTGCACAAACATAAATGGTTTGCCTACATTCCAGGTATTTCCTGGATCCTGCTGGGAGTGTAATATAGTAGAGGGTATAGGTATTGTATTACCTTTCTAAAATCCAGAACTTTCTGATTTCTGAAATCTGATTCCAAGGATTTTGTATGAGAGATTATAGACCTATATGTATTTACCACATTCTACACTCAGTCTGAGATGCCGAAATAAATACTTTTGCATTTCCTATATCTGGGTCTTAAGATGTAGTATCTACCTAAAATGCCTGTTTTTCTACCTTTTTAGTCTCTACCTACCGAATTTCTACATATGTTCAAGGCCAGTTCCAATACAGGCACTGAACAAGTTATATTTTAAAAAATATTTTGGTTTTCAAAATTTTTTGGAATTTAGAATCGTGGTTAAGGGTTTGTAGACCTGTATTTCGTCTGTGGATCAATGATGACTCTTGCAGTAGGAGTATCTTCCCTCAATGAATTACTAAAATATTAGGTTTGTAAAATATTTAAAACTCATGCTCACCTATTAGATAACAAGCTATTTAACAGCACTAGATGAATCTTACACATCCTATCCATTGCATTCCTAAGAACAGTTTAGAAACAGCTTAATATTATCCCTTGTGACGAGACATTCAAATTTGAAAAGCCTGTCTCAACTAAATTGCAAAAATAATTTTTCCCTCACTTACCTATTTAATATTGCTTAAAAGGAAAAGATCAGCACATAGTTGCTGAATAGCATTAGGAGAAACACTTAATGTAGATGACAGGTTGATGGGTGCAGCAAACCACTGTGGCACTTGTATACCTATGTAACAAACCTGCATGTTCTGCACGTGTATCCCAGAACTTAAAGTATAATACAGAAAGAAAAAGAAAGAAAGAAAGAAAGAAAGAAAGAAAGAAAGAAAGAAAGAAAGAAAGAAAGAAAAAGAAAGAAAGAAAGAAAGAAAGGGAATAAAATTCAACACTTTAAAAATAGTATCAAGCAAAATTCTCCCTCTTAGAACATAATTCTGAATGAAAAAAAATCTTGAAAATGACTGAGTGATTTTGAAAAACATATATTTCAGATATGATTCCTAACCACGTTTTTAGTGCAGTTTTTCTATATAAAAACCCATAGTGATGTTCACTCCACACTGATTTCTGTATGACACCAGGAGGTTTAATTCAACAAGGAGCCCAATTCAACATGGTCATATGCGGTCAAGTGAAATTGATATTGCAGAGAGGCTAACTCTCTTTGCATTCTCAGGAAAAGGAAGTCATTAACTCAAGTTCATATTCAGTTTTAAATTTCTAACGAAGAGTCACTCCATGCTTAATTTGGGTTTCAAGTTTTATAAGGCAACCTGAGTTTTTAAGGTATTACATGATTTAAATCTAGAGCCTTGCTCTTTAAACTTCCTTCATTTTTTTAGTAGAACTTTTCTTTTTTGAAAACAAGTTCAGAAGGAACTCCAATAATTAAAACAGATACAAGTGGGATTGTTCTGGTTGAAGAGGTACCAATAGCTGTGGGAGGGTCCTGGGGTTCACCTACTTCAATGTTCTCCTCAAAGCCTTTTAAAAACTCCAGGATCCAAGGAATCGACTTTGGAAAGCACTGCTCTAGAAGGACCCCATGATCCTTTGGCTTTTCTTTTTAGGTAAACTGTTTTCATTTTAAAAAATTAAATTTGTATTTATATTTGACTATAAAAGTAAAATGAAAACAGTACCAACAATGTGGGAAAAAAATAAATCACCTCACGCTCCATCTTCCTAACAAAGATAGCATCATTGAATGTCCTTTGTCAGCTGCCTTCACGAACATATTTTGATACAGTGGCAATTGTCCTCAAATTTTCCTTGCTCTTCCCATAGCCACCTCATTTCAGTTCATGGAAATTCCATCTTTCCAGTGGGGCCAAAGATTTGGAGTCCTCTCCATCTCTCACATCTTGTATCTAGTTCATCGGCAAATGCTGTCAGCTCGACCCTCAAAATATATTCACAACCTGCAGAGTCACCATTTGCCACCCTGGTCTGCTCTGAAGAATGATCCTTGGAAAATGTAAGTCAGCCCTCGCCTACCCTTCGCTCAAGACCATCCGATGACTTCCTATCTCACTCAGGGTCAAAATCTTACAGTGGTCTGCAAGACCTCACATAACCCACCCCAGCCCACCTCTCTGATTTTGTTCTTATCATCCTCTCCTAGCCCACTTCACTACAGCCGTATTCCTGGAACACACCCAACCCCTCTACCTCATGGCCTTTCATACTTGCTATTCCTTCTGTCGGAAACACCCTCTCTCAGTTTCTTATCCTCATTCTTCTCTTTCTTTCGATGTCAGCTGAAAACTAACCTCATGAGAGATGTATTCTCCGATGAGCCTTTACAAAATAGTAACTCTTCTCCTATGCTCTTCCTCCCGGATCATGCTCAACTATTCTCCGTGATAATTATCACCACCTGAAATGTGTTTGACTCTCTATTTGTATACACAGTTCCCATCCTTACCCTCCAACTAGTTAATTGCACTTCATCTGTTTTATTCACCACATCTCTAGCACCCAGAATAGTGATTGGCATATAACAGAAACTCAATAAACACTTATTTAATTAAATAAATAAATCTTCTATGTTTATTTTTGTATCCCCAACTACAGTTGTAATCATTGCCCAATTCCATAAAAGAGATGAACCATTTGTTACCATTCATTATGTTCTTCACCATTTCCCTACTCTTTGACGTTTAGGTTGTTCTCTCTCTCTATCTCTCTCTCTGTCTCTCAACAATGCTACACTAGACATATATTCAGTTTATCAGTGAGGGGTTGTAAACAGATGTCAAGGGTACTTTTCATCAGCAACACCATACACATGTATGATCAGTGTCTCAGATCACCACTGTGGATATCACCTCTGTCAACCTGGGGTAGGCGTGAGTTACTTACTGGACTCAGCACCTCACTCACATCTTTTCCACTTGCTGTCAATCCTATTGCCAGCAACACTATCAGTCATAATTCAGATCCATAATCTTCATGGGTTGGCAACCTCCTTTCCTCCACTTCATTTTTAACTTCAGTAATAAAGCAGCAAAGTTACACATTGAAACGATAAGGCACTACCTGGAGCTGTTTCCAACCCTTTACCTCTAATATCGGCCACTGCATGCACTCTTGACCTGGCTTCCTAGATTTCCCAGAGGCCTCCTACTTCCCAGGACTTTGAAGCTTTGTCATGCACAGGAATTACTGGGAGTTGTCCCTGAATCCACACATACACCCAGTACTAGGTGTATGCTAAATAAATATATGTCTCCCCATATTTGTTCTTCTCCATTTTTATTTTTCAAAAATTTAAAAATTGTTTTTGTGTGTGTGAGAGAGGGTCTCCCTCTGTCACCCAGGCTGGACTGCAGTGGCATGATCTCAGCTCACTGCAACCTCTGCCTTCCAGGCTCCAGCAATTCTCCCACCTCAGCTGCCAGAAAAGCTGGGACAACAGATGCATGCCACCACACTCAGCTAATTTTTGTAGAGAGGGGGTTTCACTGCGTTGCCGAAGATGGTCTTGAATTCCTGGGCTCAAGCAATCCTCCTGCTTCAGCCTCCCAAATTGCTGGGATTACAGGTGTGAGTCACTGCACCTGGCCTCTTCTCCATTCTTAAATATATATCGATGCTGTTATGATTTATAGACACAAATTTATTTAACAGTTACACTGAAGTTTTAGTTCATTGTGTGTAGTTGATTATTGCATTTTTTAAAATGCAGCGTAGCTGGACCAAGCTTGTCCAACCCACAGCCTGTGGGCCACATGCGGCCCGGGATGGCTTTGAATGTGGCCCAACACGAATTCACAAACTTTCTTAAACATTGTAATTTTTTTTTGCAACTTTTTTTAGCTCATCAGCTATCATTAGTGTTAGTATATTTTATGTGTGGCCCAAGACAATTCTTCTTCCAATGTGGTCCACGGAAGCCAAAAGATTGGACACCCCTGCCCTAGATGAAAGAATGCTGGGAATCATTACTCAAAGTCTAGCATAATTTTTCAGGTTCATTAGCACCTGCAAGCCACAGGTGACTCACATTCAGGCATGTGAGCTAGACTGTAACTCTCATCTGCTAAACAGGACATGAGAGCCCTGGCCTTAGGTTCTAGCCAAAAAAGCATAACATAGTAATCTTTATTTCTGCTAAATCACAGGTCTTAATTATGGGCACTGGGAGGATGATAAATTGGAACTCCATTGGGCAGGTCATGTATCATCTCTAACCCTGAGTTTCTTCATCTGTAAAAAGGAGATGACAATATCACTACCAAGCACTGCAACTACTCAGGGCAGTGATGGATAGAGTCTGTGCAAAATAAATGTTAGCTTATGATCTTACTAGTGTCATTTATTATGATGATTACTTATCCCCATATCTGACCAGCGGCCAAATCCTTCTTTATTCCCACCACAAGTTAAACTTATTAGTCATTCATTAATTCCTCGAGTATCTGGAGTATCTTCTTACCAAAGGCTATCAGATTGTAATTTCTGAAAATTCACACAGCATGACACATCCACCCAAAGGCCTTCAAGATTTTTAACTGGCCAGGAGCGGTGGCTCACACCTGTAATCCCAGCACTTTCGGAGGCCAAGGCAGACGGATCACTTGAGGTCAGGGGTTCAACACAAGCCTGGCCAACATGGCAAAACCCCATTTCTACTAAAAGTACAAAAATTAGCCAGGCACGGTCATGCACGCCTATAATCCCAGCTACTCAGGAGGCTGAGCTGAGGCAGGAGAATCGCTAAAACCTGGGAGGCGGAGGGTGCAGTGAGCCAAGACGGCCCTACTGCACTGCAGCCTGGGTGACAGAGCAAGACTCTATCTCAAAAAAAAAAAAAAAAAAAGATTTTTAACCAAATAAAATTCCAGCTCCCAAATGTGAATGTCATATATCTTCTTAGTCTTATATCAAAAACTGCATTTTAGCTAAATAATGCATTTTACACAATTTGAAAGCAGTTGGTGCTTTCCCATTCCAGCACCTTTGCTCAACTCACCTCCCTCACTTGCAATGACTTCCTATCACCTACCCCAATTAAATTACTTCCAGGCCTAACCCAAATGTCCCCTCCTCAAAAAGTCTTTCTGCATCATCAGAGAGGAATTCCTCCCTCCTTCCATAGAACTTCCATGACACTATTGAATTGCATGTGCCATGCATTTTCTCTTATTAGGTCTGTTTTGTCTTTGCTGCTATAAGTTCTTAGGGAGTAGGGATCTTGGATACTACAGAATGCTTTGCACAGAGCAGGCTCTCAATAATATACGTAGCATAAAAATTGCAAACAGAAAGCCAATCTGGAAACACATTCACTATGCCCATGCAGCAGACAACACAACCAAAGCTCAAGCCTAAGGGAGTTCTGCCACTTCACAAATTACTTACCAGCATGAGGTCTAGTGAGTCCTTGCTCAGACTCACTGGACGGGTGAAAGAGTTTGAAGTGGGGTTTTAAACCATGGATTAAATTGTGATGACTTCTATAGTGATTAAAATAACCTAGAGAAATTAAGAATTTTTTTACAAAAAAATACAAATATCAAATTTTCTAAACTGGAAAGCAAAGCTGATCATTTTTAAAACCAGGCAGGGCTATAACATCAGTCTTAAGATTCTGTGCAACAGAAAATTGTAGGGCTTTAAGATGGATTTCAAAGGAATAGTAAATTTACAAGATGTAGAAAGTCTGATGTTTGACGAAATAAGCTTGATATATTTCTGGATAGGAAGATAAATGTAATTTCTTCTAAGAAAAGTTTATAAAGTACATCTAATACCTTTTTCTTTTATGGCTTGGCATATTTTAGAAACCCTTTGTCATTCTGCTACCATTAGAAGTGGTAATCGTGGTCGTTATGACTTTTGTGTGGATAAAACAATAAATCTGTTCTAAAATGAGGCAAACAAAGCCACCAAATGGCATGAGGTTGAATAGAATGATATAGCGACCTCTCAACATTGCTCATTCTACTCCATTACAGAAAGACAGATTTTAAAAACAGGTATGTAGTGTCTGGCTATGGAAGAACAGTGGGTAGTTAAGATAAATTCTAGTCAAGGCCATGACTTACTGGAGGTGCTGTCAATGCTGCTGATGCTATCTGCGTCGTGCAGGTGGTGCCTGTGGAGCTGCTTGTAGAGACTAAATTTGGAGAACTTTCTTGGCTTTCCTATTCCTTTCAGTTTTGAATCCACATCATCAATACTCTTCTGGATGGGTAGGTTTTGAACAGGCTCATTTTTATCTTTGAGTCTTAAGGATTCCATAGACTCCATTGCGGCAGGCTGAGAAAAATTTTTTTTTAAAAAAAGACACTGCATAAGACATGCTGCAGTGTGGTTCTTTAATTCAAGTAGAGCTGAAGTATAAAGTTTACAAATGATGGAGGTTCTATAACAGACATGCAATAATGTCTGAGGTCAGCCACAGGGTAGTGGTGGATTCTTGTGAACTGTTTAAAAACTACCAAAGGAATATGAGGAGTTCTGCTATGGTCTTTTTTCAGTAGGCCAAATTCTTGAAATTTCACTCCAATTAAACTTTTAATCTCAAATACAATTACATGGGTTACATTCAGTGTTGAGCTCCTGAACTTGTTCCTCTAATAAACATTAAGTAAGCAAGGCTTCCTCTGTCAATCATTTTCCCTGTTCCTTATGCACTAAATTGCTATTTTTGCATAAGTTTTGCACTATTTTCCAGCAGTAAATAAGATGAAGCCCATCAAATTTTTTAATAAGTGTATTCATATTCTGGCAGCCATTTAGTTGAAATAGCAAGCAGATTGATATACACTTTTTTTAATAAGTGTATTCATATTCTGGCAGCCATTTAGTTGAAATAGCAAGCAGATTGATATACACATACAGATATTTTGGCAGCTCTATTTAAAAGGCACTTTGGGAAGTTATTCACTTCTGGCTCAAATTCCCTCTAAATGACCCCAGACTGACCTATCCTGTTTTTGTATATCTTTAAGTAGGAACTTTCCAAAAACTGTGGCAGATACTTAAGGCTTTTTACTACCTAAATCTCAATTGCCACATATTTTTGTTTATGAATCTTATTTCTGAATAAAAAATAAATCTTAATTAAAATGGAAAACAAAGCTGAATATGGGACAGCCAAAATTCCACTGAATCTGTTTTCTTTTCTTACAAGAGAAGAACAGACTCAGCAATGCTAAGTTACAGCTAGCTAGGTGGGGAAGCTGGTGTTTGAAACCAGGTCTGTCTCATGATTGACTTAAAATGTTCTTTTCCCCTCCAAGGAGACACCATCTCTTATTCAATGAATCAATCAGTCATGCTACTAATACAAACTTATACAAATTATGTTCGTGTTATACATTTCCATAAAGGTTAAATATACTTACTGGGAGGGAACCCAGAGACGGTCCTGAAGTGACCCGCTTCACACTGCCCACGTCTGTGAGTCTGTGCTCATTGTCGTCCCACCTTCCATAGGCCAGGTCAATCCCTCCCACAAAGGCCACCGATTGGTCAATGATGACAAGCTTCTCATGGTGAGCCCACAAATAGACGGTGGATGACACATGATCCGGGTGTCTCATCACCTTGAGAGGGAATAATCCCCACTGATAATATGCTTTTGAAATGTCCTTCCTGTCATAATGAAATAGGTCTGTGTTCTCCCTGAAAAGCATTTTCTATAATTCAAATACCAAACTGTACAACGTATACACCAAAGAAAATAATTTTATTCTCAGCATTTAGCAAAAAGAAAAAGAAAAAAAAAAGACTCCTATTTACTCTTCAAGCTCCCACGCCCATATACTATATTTTGGGGCAGCCGCCATTTAGCTTGAGGTCTGGCAATACATTAGAAAACAGTCAGCTCAATTTGAAAGCTGGTTCCCTTCCCCCTGTAAGGATTATGTTAAATCTGGTACTAAAAAAAAAGCTAAAAATATTTAACTACTATTTATCTCTGGAAAAATGTGTAATGAATTATATTGATATTTTATCAGTCATTGAATTGAAATATTAAGCATATGAATATAGGCATATAGATATTTTGGCAGCTCTTTATTTAAAAGGTACCTTGAGAAGTTAGTAACCTCTTGCTTTCAAAATTATCCCAGTCTGACCTATCTTATTTTCATTTACCTTTAGGTAAAAAGATTACAAAAGCTTTGGCAACTACTTTCCTCTTTTCCTTCCTTCCCTCCTTCCTTCCTTCCTTCCTTCCTTTCTTTCTTTCTCAGAGACTCACTCTCACTGAGGCTGGAGTGTAGACACGTGATCATAGCTCACTGCAGCCTTGAATTCCTGAGCTCAAACGATCCTTCTGCCTCAGCCTCCTGAGTAGCTGGGACTATAGGCGTGTACCACCATGCCTGGCTAATCTTTTTGTTTTTTGTAGATATGGGTGTCTTGCTATGTTGCTAATGCTGGTTTTGAACTCCTGGCTTCCAGCCACCCTCCCACTTCAGCTTCCCAAAGCGCTGGGACTACATGCATGAGCCACCATACCTGGCCTTACTGTTTTCTTAATAACACATTTTTTAAAAATTGTAGTAAAGTAAGCATAACATAAAATTTACCATCTTAACCATTTTTAAGTGTACAATTCAGTGGTATCAGGGTAATGAGTTAGAGAGTCTTCTCTTCTCCTCAATTTTTGAAAAAGATTGAGAAAGATTGGTGGTAATTCCTCATTAAATGTTTGGTAGAATTCACCAGGTCCCTGGCTTTTCATCTGGGGGAGATTTTTAATTACTGATCAATCTCCTTACCAGTTAAAGGTCTATTTAGGTTTTCTATTTCTTCATGATTTAGTCTTGGTAGTTTTCTTATTTCTAGGAACTTGTACATTTCCTCTAGGTTATCGAATTGCTTACAGTAATATCTTAGAATCATTTTTATTTCTGTAGAATTGGTAGTAATGTCTCTACTTTCATTTCTGATTTTAGTAACTTGAGTCTTTTTTTTTCTTAGCCCACCAAGCTAAAGGTTTGTTGATTTTATCTTTTCAAAAAACCAACTTGGTTTCATTGATTTTCTGTATTATTTTTCTATCCTCTGGTTTTATTTCCCACTGCTCCAATCTTTATTTCCTTCCTTCTGGTAGTTTTAGGTTGAGTTTGTTCTTCTTTTTCTAGTTCCTCAAACTGTAAAGTTAGGTTGTTATTTTGAGATCTTTCTTCTTCTTGCAAGTATAGCTGTAAATTTCCCCCTTTGCACTGCTTTCTCTGTGTCCCATAATTTTGGTATGTTGTTTCATTTTCATTTGTCTCTAAGTATTTTCTCTTTCCCTTGTGAATTTTTGTTTTATCATTGCTTGTTTAACAGTGTGTTATTTAATTTCCACAAATTTGTGAACTTTCTAGTTGTCCTTCTGTTATTAATTTCTAACATTATCTTGTGGTCAGACAGATGTTTGTATATCTACCTTTTAAAATCTATTAGGACTTACTTAGCAGCCTAACAGATGGTCCTGGAAAATGCCCCAAGTGCACTTGAGAAGAATGTGTATCCTGCTGTTGTTGGGTAGAATGTTCTGTATGCCCATTGGATCCAGTTGGTTTACTGTACGTTCAAGTCCTCTGTTTTCTTACTTATCTTCTGTCTGGTTGCTCTAACCATTACTGAGAGTGAGATGTTGAAGTCTCCAACTATTATCATAGACTGTCTTTTTCTCCTTTCAATCATATATTTCGATTATCTGTTATTAGGTACATAAATATGTATAATTTTTATATCTTGCTGTATTGAACCTTTTATTAATATATAATGTCCTTCTTTGTCTCTTGTAAGCATGTTTTGATTTAAAGTCTATTTTGTCTGATACTAGTTTAGCCACTCTTGCTCTTTTTTGGTTACTATTTGTGTGAAATACCCTTTCCATCCTTTCATTTTCAACCTATTTGTGTCTTTGCAGCTAGAGTGAGTCTCTTGTAGATACCATATAGTTGGATCATGGTTTCTTAAAATCCAGTCTACCAATCTCTGTTTTTTGATTAGAGGGGTCAATACATTTACATTTAAAGTAATTATTTGTAAGATACTTCTGTAATTTTGCTACTATTTTCTACTACATGTCTTATAGCTTTTTTGTCTCTCATTTCCTGCATTACTGTCTTGTTTTGTTTGGTTGATTTTTTGTAGTGACATGTTTAAATTCCTTTCTCATTTCTTTTTGTTAAATAGCTATATATTTGATTGCTATTTTCTTTGCAGTTAAATGTAACATCTTAAAGTTGTAACATTCTAATTTGTATTTATACCAGTTTAACTTCAGTAACATACAAATCTCTGCTCCTTTAACAGCTCTTCCCTCACAGTTGTTGGTGTTGCAAAATTACATCTTTAGTGGGTACTTGATAGAAATTTGGTGAATGAATAAATAATATATATAAATTACGCAACCTAATAAATCATTCTTTGGGAGAAAACACTTTCATTTTTTCTAACCAAGTGAAACATACAATTGTTACATATTTTAAGCCTGCTGGAGGTTTGTTAATTCATTATGTCTTGATGTACCTCAATGACTGGGTTATATTTATTGATAGGTTTTAGATATTGGCAAAATATCAAAGAACTTTTTCAAATTGCTTTTCATGTTTATTTACTTTATTAGTATTTTATACTAGGTGCCATTGATTTTTTAAGGCATTTTAAATCCTAGAGGAGATCTCTTTGCTGCTATCAGTGATCAGGGGATGTCACAGGGAGATCACATCTAAGAGGTTCCAGGATAATGAGAAGTGTGAGAACTTGATAGAGCTCGTGAATATCAAAACAACTGCAGGAAACATGTTCTTGTCTAAACTCTCACTTTCAATTATCAGAGTCAGAGAAGCAGAAATGTGAGATCTGCTTACCCCCATCAATGTAGGGAAGATAAGAAAGTACAGTATTTTGCTTTATTTCTGAGGACACAATGCTATTTGATCAAATATACATTTGGGCATTCTATAGATTATTACTGCCCAGAACAAAACATACCTGAAAAAATCCTATAGAATAATAAAGAAACATTGGTTATCAAGATGAACCTGAATACCTTTATGTTGGGATGTAGACGCATCAAAGTCCTCTTGGTGTATTCACTATTGATGCCAAGAGCGAGTTCCACCTCTTTGTAGAGCATTATGAAGATCCTCACTCCTTGTTGCTGTCACAGGAGAAAACCGATGGAGGAATGAGTATCTCTGGAGGGAAGTTACAATTCATTTTCTTTTTCCTTTGCACTGTACTTTCTTTCTTTTTTTTTTCAGAGTCTCACTCTGTCACCCAGCCTGGAGTGCAGTGGCGCAATCTCGGCTCACTGCAACCTCCACCTCTCGGGTTCAAGCAATTCTCATGCCTCAGCCTCCTGAGTAGCTGGGATTACAGTCGCATGCCACCACGCCCAGTTAATTTTTGTATTTCTAGTAGAGACAGGATTTCGCCATGTTGGCCAGGCTGGTCTCAAATTCCTGACCTCAAGTGATCCACCCGCCTCAGCCGCTCAAAGTGCTGGGATTACAGGCATGAGCCACTGCACCTGGCCTGCACTGTACTTTCTAACTTCTTTTATAAACAAGTAAGATAAAATTTTAATGAAAAAGGCAATACAAGGAAGTGACACATAAGTGCGTATATTGAGACACAAATATTAAAAATAAAAATCTATCTCCCTTCCATTCTTACAACTGGTCATATCAAGAAAGAATCAATAACTGATTAAAGATCCAAAACATTGAAAACTTTAGTATAAAATGGACACCCAAATTCAATTGATTCATCCTTCCTTAGACCTTGGATCTAAAAGAAAATAGACAAGGTCACCGTGGCCTATTTAATCGAGTCAAATTAAATCAAAAGTGCCTTGTAGATGCTAACATGCTATACAAATAATACAATTATTTAACAATATTAATAATCAAAAAGACAATGTCCAATCCTTTTGTAGTTCATGAGCATGATGATTGTGTGTTCACACACAAGCGTGAGATGTGCCACACTCGAACCTTCTTACGACGTCTGCACATTACCCATCTCATCTGAAAAAAAGATTTAAACAAAAACCAAAAGACCAGGTCCAATAGCTAATAGTATAGAAAAACACTGGTATTTTCCATTCTAGTTCTGGTTGGTGACAGGCTTTCAGGCTAGGCTAAACTGCCCCTTACTGGAATGCTCCTCTCCTTCTGCTTGCCCACTCATGGATCCCCCTCCAATGTATAGTTCAGAATGTATTACCTCCAGGAAACTGTGGCTTATTCACCCCCACCTTGTGGATTGCTTTTTTTACTTTTTAGGCTTGAATCCTCCTTATTTTTGTATAGTTTGCACCATTTTAATTTGCATTGTTTGCACCCAGCAGCTCTGAAAGCATTCTGAAACATTTTGCATATATACTGGATTATGTATCTAAATGACACCTGGCATTTAATATCGTAGAGATTAAAGGTAAAAATTTTCCATAATACTTTCTAGAATATTACAGATGCAGGTGTATTTAATAAACCATAATAAAAAATAATTTTGTTACAGTTTATATTAAGATTCCATGGTGATTAGTCATTGTTTATAAGGGAAATTTGAATAAAAATCTTTAAGATATCTTACTGGGTTGAACACACCTACTTTACAAGAACTAAAACTTTTTGTAATGCTATACGATCTAACATAACATAGGAGTTAATGTTTTTAGATTCTAGATCACATCACAAGATACAAAATCTTAGAGCAAACCAAACACATAAACATTTCTGTAATATTGTTCTGCCAATACTAAAAAGCACGTTTTGGACCCTAAATTCCTTATAATAACACAACACTTCAAAATACTAACACTCTATTTTTCATGGTGTTAGTAATATCTTAAAGGTGTATGTATTTCTGGAGGTGCACACTAGATTTACATTCTGGTGTGCATTAACAAGATTTGAGTACTAGGAGAAGACTCATTCTTGCTCTAAAAAAAGCAGGATCAAGAAGAATATATATGTCATACTATTTCTCTGGTTAACAGCTGGCTTTTAGTACTTGCTAATTATTTATTATAATTATGCAAGTACTATTACAATCAAGAATATAAATACATATTTCAGTAAAGAAGTAAAAGCATAGGCAGAAAGTGAACAGATTAATTTTAATGGTCTGGCCAGAGAGTGCTCTGTAATTAACCACTGATGAAGGGCTCTAAAGGAAAATTACAATATTATTTTATTTTTCTCCTCTACTGTTCAGTTCTATTTTTGGTATTTGAATATTTTAGAATTCAGCACTGAATAATGGTTACAAAAAAAAAAAAGCCTTTCACTAAAAGATATAATACAAAGGGTAAAACCCAAAATTTCAACCTAAATAGTAGAACATTACACCTGACATTCTTCATCATGACCCATTTATTTTAAGCAGATGAAATTCTGCTTCTTAGGCTTAAGACATTATTACTCATGAAGAGTAGTAGTTGCAAATTAGGAACTTGGCCTGAATCCTACAGTTTTCTACTCACCTGCATAACTAATGGATTTTTGAAATAATAGAGATATTAACACTAATGGAATACATTACTACTCTCCATTTATTAATACCTGACATTTCTTCTATACTGTCTTTTCTCATTGAAATAATTCTAAAGGAAATAGGGTAGAGACTTTGTCTTTTTAGCTTAAAGACAAATGACCAATGAGGAAGCAATTAAAGATAGAAAGTTCATTTGTATGTGGTTTATAATTATTTACCTACACCTATAGCCACAATAAACAGTTAATTAGTGACAAGATTCCTGTGATAATAAAGCAATGCATTCTTCTTCTTTTGGTCAAGGTATTGACTATTATAAACTCTAGCCATAAAGGGCAAAGGCGAATGAATCATTCCTTGGGGATGAAGGCATTTTCCAGGTTGTTATAGTGTAGGCTTATACAAAATGTGGGAAATATTTCTGCAAAATGAAAGCCAAAGGAAAAAAAAACCTGATGATGTTAATTCTGCAATTTAAAAAATACACTTTCAAAACATCCCATGCTTTAGTGCCTAGTGCCTTTAAATACCCTTGGGGAAATTACTTTTTGCTTAAAGAAAGGGACGGAAATTATTAATAGGAGAAGTAGAAAAACAGATGGCCTGGAGTTGCCTATGCAATGCAGTGTTTCTTATCTCTGGTGAACTCAGCTGACCCAAAGTTTCCATAGAATAAATTTCATAAAACATGACTTTTAAAAGATGAAAGTTCTGTCCTCTTTTCTAATTAGTTTTTTGTCAAGTAGAGCAGACATAACACTATAAACAGTAGAAATCTTTAGGAGCTTTAGATATTCAAACTACATGGGAAGACAATGAAAAGAAAATTTTTATAGTGGAAATCAGTGACTTTGTTTCTTAGCCAACTTTTCCTCCGATTGCTCAAGGGAGCATAGTGAAAATATTTTCTAAATGCAGCCAAGTTTGTCCACTGCCTGAAGACAGTTTAGCCCACCCCACCCCCCCAACCCAGGATGCTCACTAATGTTTTTGTCACTTGCCAAGGACTTCCCCAATACAATATATTAAGAAAATGTAAAGATGTAAAGTAAAGGATATAAAGAAATCACTTCCTCACCGTTTAAAAGCAGGCAGCATTGGGATATAAGAGCACAAAAGCTCATGTGCCTTTTTTTAAAATCCAATTTTGTTTGAAGCACATTTTTGAAGCTGAAGATACCTTCCCTGCAAGCCACTGTTGCCCACCACTTTGATAAGACTCATTTGATTTTCTGTGTAGAGATGTGATTATTCCTGTCATTTCTCAGTTCTGGACAACTTTCCCTTTTATTGGTCACTGACTGCAACTCTACATTGTGCCTTGTGATCCAGGACAGAAAATCAACCTGAAGACAAATTCTCCCATTAGTCTAAGTTTCATAGGAAATATCACAAGCTTCTAAGGTTGAGATACACAAAATTGCGTGTGGGGATTTGGCTGCCATAAGTATGATGCAGCTTATCTCACCTCTTAGCATAGCAAGTGCAGAACTGTGGAAAGCCCTGAGATGCTGATTTCTTTGAGTTGTGAACAGTCTGCCTCTGAAGATTGGCTTTTATTATTTTAAATGATGGCATTGCAGATCAGAAGGCCAAAGAAATAGGAGAAGTTCAACTTGGTTATTAATCAGATACATAAAATATTCTATTTTTTCTTAAGAAACAGCCATCATAAGAGATGTTTGCCATACGTTGGCTATAAGGCAGAGACAGTTCCTAAATTCCTCTCAGAATATCTGCACAATCAGATAGAAGAAAATAAAACATTCATTTTAATAAACCTTGTGGACCTCTGGGACCTGTTAATGCAAAAAACAAATATTATGTTTCAACCTCATACTTTGCAAAGCTAGTGTGTGGCTTTCAGAAACTAAATTATTTATGTGAAGCCATATTTATGTGCATATAAAATGTCAATTTGGAGTGATCCGAGTGTTAAAAAATTTATGAACAAAGTAATAATATGGTGGAATGAGATTAAGGAAGAGCAACTCCGCTAAATGTACCACCAAGAAATCAATCTTTAATTGTATTACTATTTCTTTAGGAAATTTTAAATATCGCTACCCACAGTTTAAAAATTACCAGCTCCAAGAAGTGGATGAAATGGAAATGAAGCACTGTTATCAGGCAATAACGTTTATTTGGCCATGGTGTTCACGAGGGACCTCGCCAGGGTTCAAGGGCCAAAAAAGTAAAGAGAAGTCACACTAGACACAGAAAAGGTAACCAGACAGGTATGCCAAGGGCAGTAAACAAGCGCATGCCAGCAAACAAGAGGTGGAAGCCAGGCCTGCAGGATCTTCCTCCTGAGCCCTACCGAGGCATTTACTAGCTTTCTCAAGTTAACTTAGATGTCTTGTAGACACTGTATCTTCAAGTGATCTAAACTTTAGCTTTCTGAATCAGCTCTTCCCAGTTTCTTCCACTATCAGAGTCACCTTCCGGACACCTTTTTTTTTTTTTTTTTTTTTTTTTGAAACAGAGTCTTGCTCTGTTGCCCAGGCTGGAGTGCAGTGGCACAATCTCGACTCACTGCAAGCTCCGCCTCCCGGGTTCACGCCATTCTCCTGCCTCAGCCTCCCGGGTAGCTGGGACTATAGGCGCCCGCCACCATGCCCGGCTAATTGTTTTGTATTTTTAGTAGAGACGGGGTCCGACACATTATTTTGATCAGACCACCCCTGCTTCCCCACACCGCCCTGCCCCGCACAGTACTGCCCCACTGTCTCCCATAAAGTCAAACCACTAGCTTGGCTCACAAAGCCTCTGCATCCCAGCTGCAACTAGCAGTTCCAGCTTAATCCCCCATCCGGCTATGCTAACACTCAGATGTGATGAACCACCCTACCGTGCCTGACAAAGTCTTTGGCACTGCTGTTTACATCTACTACACCTAGAAAGTTCTTCTTTCCCTTTTAAAAATGTTTGTCCATCCTAAATGCCCCACATCCTTCATGTTGTGTGGAGCTCCCCAACTGGACCTTTTCCATTGGGAAAGCCCAATGCTTTCCCTCTTGCCATTAAATCGGGGCATTGTTTCTGCATGCAACTGACACTTCTGCAGATTTTATAAGCTCCTTCAACTTAAGAATCATGGCTTTTATTTATGTACATCCTCATATGATTAGCCAAATGCCCTGCACATAGAAAACATTCAATAAATACATATTGATTGAAACCTAAAACAGTGAGGTGCTGATTAAATATTATAAGCAAAAATTTACTAGTATTAGTACAGATTGCTACGCAAGGCTGGAAAAATGTACTAAAATAGAATCTTGAGGGAAAATGGAAAAGATGCCATTTCATTGAGAGAAACATAGAGAAAGTTACTGCCCATTCAATAGGTAGAAAGTAGTCTGGTAAGGCTAGGACTGAGCCCAAGACATGAGTCCCTCAGCAAGTTCGCCACTGGCAAGGTTCAAATCTGATTCATGGTGGCATTCTTAGTGATTACCGTAGAAGCTGGCTCATAGGAGACAGTAACCGTATGATGAATTATTTAATAAATATGTGAATAATGTTTTCAGAATCAAAATGTCCAATTCTGTAACTGGAATTCTATTGATGAAACAAACTAGACTATCCATCAAAATGATGTTGTTTGGCAGAATGTGTTTCAAATAAATATTATCAATTTCTTTTGCTTTCAATATTAGCAGTGAGGTCTGACTATATTTGTGGATATCCCCAGAAATACTCAAGTAAATGCATGGGGAAAAGATACAGAAAGAAAAGGGGAAAGTGAATGGGGAAATAAAAAGTGGAATGCAGAGGATAGGAAAGAAGAAATGAGTGAAAGCTATGAGAAACAGAAAAATGCTAACCCCAATTATTTAGGCTCCACACGTTCTGCTAGCATGTTTAATGACAGAATAAAAAAAGGTTGGCCGGGAGCGGTGGCTCAAGCCTGTAATCCCAGCACTTTGGGAAGCCGAGGTGGGCAGATCACCTGAGGTCAGGAGTTCAAGACCAGCCTGGCCAATGTGGTGAAACCCCGTCTCTACTAAAAATACAAAAATACAAAAAAAAAAAAAAAAAAGCCAGGCATGGTGGTGGGCACTTGTAATCCCAGCTATTTGGGAGGCTGAGGCAGGAGAATTGCTTAAAGCTGGGAGGCAGAGGTTGCAGTGAGCCGAGACTGCACCATTGCACTCCAGCCTGGGCAACAAGAACAAAACCCCATCTCAAAAAAAAAAAAAAAAAAGGTTAAGACAGTTTCTGATAATAGCAAAAAGTTAGCACTTCCTAATTTGGACATGCTAAATAATAAATCCCAGATCTATTTTTAATTTAAACTGATTTAATTTTAAGGGCCTATTACATTAAAAAAATCACTAGAAATATGAATGCAGTCATTAGTGAGCCTAGGCTGCTTCAGTTATTTACTTTTTATACCTAAAAAGCACACATTCAATGTTCACCCAGAATGTACAGGGTCAACTCCACAGGAAACAGTTTCACATTTTTACCAGGAACTTTACCAAAACCAGAGAAAAAACACCACCAACTGTGACTATTCCTCCCCCTTTAATATTATTCTACACCACATTAGCCCCATCTAGCTGAAACCATTCTCCAGATGAGTTTTCCTTTTGCTTAAATGACAAAATAATGAATACAATTAAATGCTATGCTCCATTTCATCATTTATTATTCAATGATGAAATTTTATTATAATTTTTTTGCCTATAAAATTAGCTGCCCATAACTGATTCAAAAATAAGAATTAGAGATGCTAACATAATCCATGCTGTGAATTAGTCTAAAATATTTATGCACTCAAAAGCAATAGGAATAAAATAGAACCAAATGAACTGGAAAACATTAGTTATCCTACTTTTTGTCAAACTCTAAAGTGAAAAGTTATACGTGTGAAAGGCTTTGAAAAGAAAAGCATTTCAGAGACAACAGACAGTTAAAAAATTATATCAGCATTTTCTGGGAAAGTACATACTGCTTTTCGTTTAAGAATGCAGTCCAACCTCCAACGATTTCCCTCAACCACTGGGCGTTTCAGGAAGATTTCTGGACTCAGCCTGAAACAATGAAACCAAGATTTTAAGTAACTAAAACAAAATATAAAGTTCTGATTGTGTCATAGGAAGCAAAGGCAATTTCAGCCCAATTCAACCCCATTATCATCCTCCATTGTGATGGGTAATCCAAAGCTTTACTATGAGTCTAGGAACAACTTCGTATGGGAAAAATAGCCTTTAGCTATACAAAACATCAATCTTAGTTCTTTCTCTCTCTCTCTCTCTCTCCCCCCTCTTTAACTGTCTCTCATACCCACATGCTCACATATGCACACAGGTACTGTTGGTTGCCCACCCACAGCCAATCTCCAACTTCTTCCCTGCTCTCAGAGCCTCTCTCCCACCACAGACTGAATATTCTAGATACTTGCTTTCCCAGACTCCTGTGCAGCTAGAGCACAACGTGACACAATCCTGAACAATGAGATATATGAGGAGGTACACAGGGGCTTAATGGGAAAGTTTTTCCTCCCTGAAACACACACACAAACACACACACACACACACACTCTCTCTCTCTCTCTCCCTCTCCCTCTCTTTCGCTCTCTCTCCCTCCCTCTCTTTTGCTCTCTCTCCCTCTCTCTCAGAGAAAGCCCTGCCCACACTTCCAGCTTTGGGATGGATGTTGTATGGGAGTATGATGCTTACAGGGGTGCAGCAATATTGAAATTCTAAGGGGAAGACCATAACCCCAGAATCACTAAATCACTCTGCCAACCTCAGGATTGCCCAACTTTAGACTTAACATTAAATGTGAAAAATACATCCTCAGTGTTTAAGCCCTCTTTAGTTGAACATTCTGTTACCCCAAACTAAAAGCATTCTAATAGATACACAGACACATGACTTCCTATACAAAGAAGCAGCATCTGAGGGAACCTGGGGCTTTCTGGACAGGGGAGAAGGAAGGTCGGCTGATATATGAAATTTTTCCTAGGCTCTTCTCCTTCAGTAAGGCATAAGGCAGCTAAGGTAAGCTAAGCTTCACAAGGCAGCTAAGAGTACAATAGAGTCATTTTTCCCCTGGGGCTGGGTTCTAAAGTTAGTTTCTGAGTTAAACATGTACATGATGTAACTTCCCTGTAGTTAGAAAAAAGAAGCAGTAGAAAATACTCCTTTCTCCACTGAACTGCTAGACCTGAGGCAGCAGAGGTAGACTATGTCAGGATGAAAGCCTTATGGAATTCTGCACTGGAGTATTGCCCTCCCAGGCAGCCCTCTAAGCATGTGAAATCAACAGTGCTTTAAGGAGCTAAAGAGATTAAAAGAAATCAATTTTATGCTCTATTTCATTCAGTTAAAGAAAATAAAAACCCAGAGATAAAGTTTCTAAAGGAAACGTTATTGGGTAAAATAAATAAGGAAACAGACAAATGGAAGAGTTTGGACAGTGTAAGTCTTGCATATTTAATTGAGAGTAGGAAACAAACTCAAAGGTAATCTATGTCCAAACAAGCAAACAAACAAATAAAGCACAGCAATTGATCAGAAAAGATCAAAGAAGCATTAAAAGGAAATCTGTTTTAAAATAGTAAAATGCATTGCTGTGCACTGCTAGTTCACCAAAAGTGAGAGATAGCCAACAACATATATACAATTGCAATTTTTTGATGTGTACATTAAATATGGGCTCAAAGAGCTTCGGTATGGGGGAGACTTTTAATGTCATACTCTGCAATTAAGTATTTATCATCATTTATTTCATTTAATCCACAAACATGTGTACCCTTGTATGCTAAGCATTCTACAAGATACTTTGAAGAATCTTAAGATAGCTCTTGAGGAGCCCTCAATTTTGAGGATAATGCATAAAAAGAAAAAAAGATTTTGTTATATCATGCTATAAAAGTATAAACCATGGCTGCATGGCAAGAAGAAAGCAGCTATAACTTACCAAGCATTATTATGTAAGAATCTTTACTTACTTGTAAACAAAGTTATTGTTTAATATTACATTTCATTGGATCTAGGACACCAGTGACTGTAGGATGCATCGTTACTGCATGTACCACTAAGAAAGAAAACATCATGACAACTATAACTGTAAGAGCATAAGATGCATCCTGATTGCGGAGATATTAAGACGTACCTCTAAGTAAGTGTACCACTTAGAAGATTTAATGACTTTAAATGCTTACATGAGAAAGACAAAAAATTAAAAATTAATGATCAGACTTTCCTTTCTTAAAAGATAGAAAAAGAAGACATTAAACCCAAAGTAAGAAGATGGGGGAATAATAAATATAAGAGTAGAACTTGATGAAATACAAACCTGAAAAAATACAGAGAAAATTCAATGAAACTAGATGTTGACTCTTTGAAATATCAATAAAATTTGTGAACTTCTAGCAAGGCTAAAAATAAATGACAAAAAAATGATTGAAAGGATGGGCTCACATGTATAAACCCAGCACTTTGGGAGGCTAAAATGGGAGGATTGCATAAGCCCAGGAGTTTGAGACCAGCTTGGGCAACATAGCAAGACCCTGTCTCTACGAAAAAATTTAAAAAATTAGCCAGACATGGTGGCTCATGTCTGTAGTTCCAGCTACTCGGGGGGCTGAGGTAGGAGGATTGCTTGAACCTAGAAGGTTGAAGCTGCAGTGAGCCACGATCATGTCAGTGCACTTCAGCCTGGGCAACAAAGGAAGACCCTGTCTCAAAAAAAAAAAAGGAGTGAAAGACAGGTAATCACTATAGGGCCTAGAGGCATTATAATTATATTAAATGAATAATAACTATTAAAAATAACTGTATGCCAATATTTGTGGTAATTTAAATAAAATAAACATATTCCTTGAATAAAATATTTTCATAATGAAAATAAAAAGAAATTGAAACTGACTTCATAGCTATTGAAAAACTGAATTTGTAATTAAAACTTTCCTACAGGGAAAACTACAGACTTTGCCAACTTTACAGAATTTATTAAACATTTACAGAATTTATTAAATATTTGAATTTTATCAAATATTTAAGAAAGAAATGATGCTAGTACTACCTAAATTCTTTCAGTAAACAAAGGAGGAACACTTACTATCTTATTTAATGAGGTCAGCATTATCCTGATACTAAAACCAAATAAAGACAATGCAAGAAAACTAAAGAACATCCCTTATGATCACAGAAGTAAAAATATTTACCAAAAACACAGCAACTTAGAAAAATAATACTACATCATGATCAAGTGGGATTATCCTAAGATATAAGGTTGGTTTAAAAGTTGGAAATCAATCAGTGCAATTCACCACAGTAACAACAAAAAGGAGAAAAACGTTATTATTCAACAAATGCAGAAGAAATGATGAAATTCAATATCCATTAACAATAAATACTCCCAACAAATTAGAAATAGAAAAAAACTTCCGTAGTGTAATAAAGGGTACCTATAAAAAAATCTATCTCTAACATCACACATAACATAACAAAACTGCATGCTTTCCTCTTAAGATTAGAAACAAGGCATTCTCACCACTTTCATTCAACATTTTACTGGTGATACTAGCCAATGCAACAAGGCAAGAAAATAAAATATAAAGCATACAGATTAGAACAGAAGAAGTAAAACTGTCTTTATTCGTAGATCACATAATCATCTATAGGACAACCCTAAGCAATCTACAAAAAAGCTACCAGCACTAATAAATTAATTTAGCAAGGTCACAAGCTATAAGGTAAATACACAAAAATCAATTGCATTTCTAGTTCTGTATGGAAAATGAATTTTAAAATATAATTTACAATAATATCAAAAAACATAAAGTACTCAGTAAAAAATTTAACAAAATATGTAAAGACCTATACATAGAAAAATACAAAATATTGCTGAGAAAAATTACATAAGAGCTAAATAAGTGGAAGCCTCAATATAGAAAAAGAAGTACCACCTAACCAGTGGTAAGTTTAACATTTTTCTCCCTTTGATTCCTTGACTTGGAGGGAAAACTTGGAAACAGGCATTGGCACAGAGAGAACTTCAAAAATCCTCTAGTTCAGGCTTGGGGAGAAAGCAAAGGATCTCTGGTAGTGACAGGGTTGCAGTGGAAAGCCCAAAGTTACTAAAACCTCTGAGGCAGGGGAAATCTCCTCTCCAATGGAGATGTAAATACACCTGGCTTGGCTCTGGACATGGGTGCCATCAGAGAAAGCACATTGCAGAGCACAGTAAATAAAAACCCATCTTTCTGGCTAGAAGACTAAAAAGGGAAGCCATGGGAAACTAAAAATTGGGGAGAGGAGCTCAGAAAAGCAGCTCCATAAAGTTGTTTCTGATTTCCTGGCTCATTCCCAAGCTGCCTATGCATGGATTTCATCCTAAACATCACTCCAAAGAGGCTGAGAACTGAACTGAGGAATAGACCACCACCGAAGTCCCAGAAGGGCCACTAGGTGGCACACATATGGGGCAGATCTGAATAGCACCACAAAGGCATTAACAACAAAACCGGCATTAAAACAACACTCATAAAAGGCTGGTTGGAACTTTAAGCCTGAACTGAAATTGGTAAATTGCCTGCTAAAACAAAAATACTAACATTCTCCACAGGATTCAAACAAGACTCAAGAGTCTTATAACATAATAATAAAATGTTCTAGAATACATTAAAAGTACCTGGCACACAAAGAACCAGGAAAAAAAAAAAAAAAAAAACCTTATCTTGTACAGAAAAGGGAATCAGCAGATGTCAATACCAAGACGACATGGATATTGAAATTATCTACTTAAGGCTATGTCAGATATTATAAAAATGCTCTAATAAGGGTGAACACTCTTAAAATGAATGAAAAGACAAAAAAGTCTTATAGAAAAAGATATAAAGAAGAACCAAATAAAAATTTTCAAAGTGAAAAACACTATTACCAAAAACACTAGAAAAACAAAAGCAAACAATAAATTCCCCAAACCTCACAGGATAGGCTCAATACCAGAATGGAGATCATAGAGCAGCAGTCCCCAACCTTTTTGGCACCAGAAACCGGATTCATGGAAGACAATTTTTTCCATGGGTGGGAGCTGGGGGTAAGGATAATTTCTGGATGAAACTGTTGCACCTCAGATAGGCCAGCAGGCACCAGTTAGACTCTCATAAGGAGCGGGCAGCCTAGATTCCTCACATGCGTAGTTCACAATAGGGTTCATGTTCCCACGAGAATCTAATGCCACGGCTGATCTGACAGGAGGCGGAGCTCAGGCAGTAATGCTCATGCTCGCTACCTCCCCCGACAAGCTCTGGCTCACCTCCTGTTGCATGGCCTGGTTCCTAACAGGCTGGGGACCAGTTTGGCTTGGAGGTTGGGGACCCTGTCATAGCGGAAAGAGTCAATGAATTTGAAGGCAAATAAATAAGATACTATTTGTGTCACTGAAGACTCAGAAGGAGGAGAGAAAGAGGAAAGTTCAGAAAAAATGTGTAAAGAAATAATGGCTAACAATTTCTTAAATTTAGCAAAAGATATAAAACTACAGATTCAGGAAGCTCAGAGAACCCCAAACAGGATAAACCCAAACATCATAACCAAACTGCTGAAAACTAAAGACAGAAGGAAAATATTGAAACCACTCAGAGGAAAAATAACACATTACTTAGAGGGGAACAATGTCTTCAAGAGATGGAAAATTTCTCAACAGAAATCATGGAGGCCAGAATGAAATGGAACAATCACTTTAACTAGAATGTACAAATACCTCCTACAACTAAATAAGAAGACTAACACAATCTCCCTCTCAAAAAAAAGGGAAAAGATTTGAACAGTTAAACCAATGTCCAAATAGCACATGAAAATTTGCTCAACATGAAACGATGTTGCTGATACAAGCTAAAATCATAATAAAACACTACTGTATACCCTTTGAAATAAAGACTGACAACATCAAGTGCTAGCAATTATGTGGAAGAATTGAAACTCTCATACATTGCTGGTGAAAATGTAAAATGGTACAACTTTGGAAAACACTACATTTAGCTCTTAGTATTGATAAAATGTGGTAAATTAAATCTATCTTCTAAGATAGGTGTCAACAAACTATAGCTCACAAGCCAAATGTTGCCCATAGACTGTTTTAGTATGGCCTGTGAGCTAAGAATGGTTTTTATATTTTTAAAGAGTTGTAAAAAAAATATGCTTCAGAGACCATACATGATTTGAAAAGCCTAAAACAAATTTACTCTCTTGCTCTTTAAAGAAAAAGGTTACTAACCATTTTTGAAAGTCAGTGGCTTTAAAACTTTTAAACTTTTGGACCATAAGCTGCAGAAAGAAATACATTATACACCCAAACCAACACCGGGTCAGTCAGTCTATCTATCTATCTATCTATCTATCTATCTATCTATCTATCTACAACTGATATAAAAGTTTCCAAAATTAGTAGCCCTTATTACCACTTACATTGTACCCTTTCTTTCTTTTCCCTTCCCTTTCCTATCCTATGCCATTCTTTTTTTTTTTAAATGCTGGTCACAACTTACCAAATTATTTTAATACACAATTACTAAAGAGGCTCAACCCATCATTTGAAAAACACTAACAATATTAAAACCAACTTAAAGAATGTTGCATTTAAAACCAACTTAAATACTTTTAAAACATGTATTCTTTTACCTGGAATAGTCTTTGTTTGTGAGTCAGTTAGTAATGCAATGCTGATTTATTTTCTTTATAACCTTTGTCTCCGGCCCAACCTTTGTCTCTTCTGTTTCTCTACCCTTTACAAACACCCTCTTTTAAAAATCTCTGTTCATTGTTTTTCTTTTGTATTCTCCTGTTTTATTAATTCTATTTCTGACACATTTAACATACTGACTCCATACAGAGACTGGTAGATAACCCCACTCTCTCAGATCTACGCATACTAGTGTTTGGTTAAGTTTCTGAATGCTCCTTTTTGCAATATGCTTGTACAACAAGAATTTTCTTTACTTGTTTGAGGGAAGTTACTGTGAAGGTTTTATTTCTAATGATGTGTTGTAATAAAATGGTATCCTAGTGCAGTCGTGAAAAATAAGTAACCCCGATTCATTCTCTTGCTGAAAGTAGAGAGGAAAACATTCAGAGTTCCATCTCTTTATATGTTTAATTGAATCAACCTAAATGACCATCAATGGTAGACTGGATGAAGAAAATGTGGTACATATACACCACAGAATACTATGCAGCCATAAAAAAGAATGAGATCATGTCCTTTGCAGCAACATGGATGGAGCTGGAGGCCATTATCCTTAGAAAACTAACACAGGAACAAAAAACCGAATACTACATGTTCTCACTTATAAGTGGGAGCTAAATGATGAGAACACATGGACACATACAAGGGAACAACACACACTAGGGCCTTTCAGAAGGTAGAGGGAGAGGATCAGGAAAAATAACTAGTGGGTACAAGACTTAATACCTGGGTGATAAAATAATCCATACAACAAATTCCCATGCTACAAGTTTACCTATTTAACAAACCTGCAGTTGTACCCCTGAATTTAAAAGTTAAAAAAATTTTGGTGTTCAGACATAAAGCATGAAAATCTAGGCTCAATAGAAAAATTATTTTTAGTCTCTCTCACATCTTCACCAAACTTTCAGAAATATTTTTTAAAGAATATAGTACTCACTGGCACAAATTTATTATCACAAGTGTTCATAAAATATTCAACCAAAGAAATAGCTCCTAAGCATGAAACATTTTTTCCTCCTAGTAACTGACTGAAAAGACAAAATTTGGTAACAATAGAAAGACCAGAATTAAGCTCCTCCACAAGCATGAGCATGCTGGCCACCACATACCCTGTCTATCCCCTCTAGATCAGTGATTCCCAGCCGACAAGGATCTTGCATCCTCTCCCAACCCCAACCAGGGAACATCTAGCAATGTATGAAGATATTATGGTGGTCACAACTGGGAACTTACTACTGGTACCTAGTGGATGCCGCTAAACACCCTACAATGCATAGGACAGCCCCCTACAACAAAGAATTATCTAGCCCCAAATGTCAACAGGGCAAAGGTTAAGAAAGCATGCCTTATAATTATAGATTCCAGACAACCGAAGCAAAAGATGTGTTTGCATTCTTGAATTAGATATTGATATTGCCCACAAAACCTAGAATTAGAAGGGAATAAATTATGATGATATATTAACAGTTCCTATAAGGTACCTTTTGGAAGAAAACCGGATAGAGTAAAATAAGGGGTAATTCAGGCAACTACTACTAAGTTCCTAGAAGGAAAACACATTTTAGACATTTCCATATCCATCGTAGCCAGTGTTGGCATGTGTAATGGGTTTTAACTTTCCAGGCAGATGAATGATTGGAACTGAAGTCAGACTAGAATGCCTACACCAACTACAGGAGTAAATTTCCCAAGAGTTAAATGAGTTTCCGATATGAGGCTTCTGGTGACTTTAATAAGCATAGCAACTCTTATGGATATTTTTTTAAGGTGGTCACAAAGTTGAAACCGGATGTATCTCTAGAACAGCTGACCAGGCCTAGTCATTACAGAGGATATTTTTACGGTAACAGGCAAGTGGAACTATTTCAACATCAAAAGGACAATTTAGAAGAAGTATATTCACTGGCCCTCATGACAGACATACCAAAATTAGAAAAAGACATCCAAAGACACCATTACCTCTATAACTGTACTTGCATTACAGTATAATCTTTACTGACATGAAAACTTGGAAGTCTGCTTCCAAATGCAAATATAAAACCTAATTGTTCAAACTAAGTATTTTATGAATATTGTTGAGGCCAAGGTTTTTGAAAAGGCCTTTCACTGAAGGCTTAGTCAACTGGTTGAGACCCTGGCCAAACCATCCACAGATACAGCTGATTTTCATAATGTGTAATTCTTGAACAGCACTATACCACTGTACATTTCTAAACATAGAGACTTCCAGAAAAAAATTCCCAGGGACAAATACTAACCACCAGTCTGTGATAAAAATCTCTTCATTTGCCTCTTCCATTGCATTTGCCACATCTTCAAAATATCCTTTGGCATTAACATACCTGAAAGACAAGTTTATTGTTCCTTTTTGTTATTAAAAAAGAAAAGAAAAGAAACTTATCTTATGGTAAAGCAAAACATGGAAGCCACTGCCTAGAGTCTCCACATAACACATAACCACCATTGACTTTGTGGACCTGGAAAACAAGGATTGAAAATACCAAGTTTCCTCTGCTGCCTAGGAAGGGCAGTAAGTGTAAGCAGCCTGATTTTTCTCTGCTTAGAGAACAACAAATTTATTGAGCCTCATCATCATAAGGAGCCAGATTAATTTTCCTATCCTGTTGAACTTACATACAGTTTTTCTTACATACAGTTCTGAGACTGAAAACAAACTAGCTTCCAATCCACGGGTAGAAAAACATGCTAAGCATGACTTTATTTAAAAGAAATATCTAGCAAGTAAATGCTTTTTCCTAAATTAGGGGTAATGACTTAAATAAACCTTCCATTTGCATCATTAAAGAAATGTATGAAGTTAGCTTTAAAATTCAAACTTCAAAATCTAAAGCTAGCTAAGCTCACTGTGAAAAATCTTAAAAGCAACAATTGAAAAACTAATCTATAATCAGGTAGTCCCATAATTATCACAAAAAGAGAAGCCCTTGTTAAGTATAATGCATAATCTTTCACAGTTTTGAAAACTGATTCCAGGTGAATTTAGGCCAGTGTAATATTAGATGCTATGACTGCCTTGACAGGCTTAGAGAAATAATAACTTACCATTTAGCTAAAGCATTCTCTTGGATAGCAGCATATGACCCAAATCGATGATCTTTGAGAAAGTTGGTGCCATGTTTCTGGATGAATTCTTCTATAGCCCCTCCCCACCACCGAGCATGTCTATAGCTGTTGCATTTTAAAATAAGTGTCCTTTAAAGAAAAAGCCAAATATTGAAAAGACTGGTCACTCTGTTCTATCTCATGCTCTTTTTTATTTGGTAATATACCAAACACAAACTGAAAATTTGAGGCAAAGAACATCAAGAAAGCAGGCATTTAACATTTTTTGGTAGTATTTCTAAAAATATATTCAATATAACAAAAATAAATGTTCAGGTTACTTATTCATTCACTCATGCAAACATGCATAAAGGTACTTACCATAGACCTAGAGCTGTGTGCTAGGCCATGAGGAGGATAAAGAAAGAGGGGTAAGGTGAGGTTCTATTTTTAAGTATTAGTTAGAGAGCTGTTGGCTCCCGTACAGCAGCGGTCCCCAACTTTTCTTTTTTCTTTTTTTTGAGATGGAGTCTCGCTCTGTCGCCCAGGCTGGAGTGCAGTGGCGCGATCTAGGCTCACTGCAAGCTCCACCTCCCGGGTTCACGCCATTCTCCTGCCTCAGCCTCGAGTAGCTGGGACTACAGGCACCCGCCACCACGCCCGGCTAATTTTTTTGTATTTTTAGTAGAGACGGGGTTTCACCGTGTTAGCCAGGATGGTCTCGATCTCCTGACCTCGTGATCCGCCCGCCTCGGCCTCCCAAAGTTCTGGGATTACAGGCGTGGTCCCCAACTTTTTTGGTACCAGGGACAGGCTTGTGGAAGGCAATTTTTCCACGGATGATGGGGAGTAGTTTCGAGATGAAACCGTTCCACCTCAGGCCATCAGGAAGTGATATGATTCTCGTGAGGAGCGCGCAGCCGAGATCCCGCGCATGTGCAATCCACAATAGGGTTCGAGCTTCTGTGAGAATCTGATGCTGTGGCTGATCTGACAGAAGGCGGAACTCAGGTGGTAATGCTCCCTCGCCCACTGCTCACCTCCTGCTGTGCGGCCCAGTTCCGAACAGGACACGGACTGGTACCCCGAGGGGGTTGGCGACCCCTGCTCTAGAGGGCACTTCCCCTTGTGCTCCCTAGTATCCATTCCCTCAGCTTCTGGAAATATCATCCCAATTGTGCTTCATGACAGCCATCCCTTCTCTTCAACAAAGCTAAGCAAAATGGCATATTCCATCTTTCTGGTTCCAGAAGGTGGTTCTGGCATGACTATATTGTGAGTTTTCTATTTCACTAATCATAGGAAAACTGTTCTTTTTTTTTTTTTTTTTTTGAGACGGAGTTTCGCTCTGTCGCCCAGGCTGGAGTGCAATGGCGCTATCTTGGCTCACTGCAACCTCCGCCTCCCGGGTTCAAGTGATTCTCCTGCCTCAGCCTCCCAAGTAGCTGGGATTACAGGCCTGCACCTCCACGCCCGGCTAATTTTGTATTTTTAGTAGAGACGGGGTTTCTCCATGTTAGGCTGGTCTCGAACTCTCAACCTCAGGGGATCGGCCTGCCTCGGCCTCCCAAAGTGCTGGGATTACAGGCATGAGCCACTGTGCCAGCCTTTTTTTTTTTTTTTTTTTTTTGAAATGGAGTCTTGCTTTGTCACCAGGCTGGAGTGCAGTGGCTCAATCTCGGCTCACTCCAACTTCCGCCTCCTGGGTTCAAGCGATTCTCCTGCCTCAGCCTCCTAAGTAGCTGGGACTACAGGCGCGCACCATCATGCCTGGCTAATTTTTGTATTTTTAGTAGCGACAGGGTTTCACAATATTGGCCAGGCTGGTCTCAAACTCCTGACCTTGTGATCCGCCCACCTCGGCCTCCCAAAGTGCTGGGATTATAGGCGTGAGCCACCGCACCTGGCCAGGAAAACTGTTCTTTTGCAATAATAATCAATTAAACATATTGATACCAGAAAAAAAAGGATACTCATGTACATTTGTTCATCGATTCCTATTAACAAATGGACATGAGTATCCTTTCAGGCATTCCTAAGCAAATGTGAGGACTTACTTGCTCAGGAATGCCAGGAAGGGACTCTCTTGCTTCCACAGAATTTGGTGTGAGTGTGGGAGGTGGCCATCTTGCTACCACAAGGGAATCAGTCATGCTCAACATGGCTGATTAGTTCTCTTTGGTATAAGCCAGTTTGCTTTAGATTTTTCTGTCACTCATAACTAAACTATCCTAAACTCTTACAGAGTTATAAATGCTAAAAAAAAAAAAAAAAAAAAAAAAATTCAGAGTGGATTACAGAAAGTTTTTTCTTAATGCCAAGTGTCAGAATTCTGCCTACTACTAAGAGGGAAAAATAAGTTATCCAAATTTGAAGTTTGAAGGAAAACAGAGTGTTGGAGCCAGCTGTATCCCTGCCATGTAGGCAGAAATCTACCATCATACCAATGTAAGAAGACTATGCGTGAGGAGGGAGGTTGCTTTTTTGAGGAAATGCAATGATCCTGATGAGACGCAGGGAAGGGGGCTGTGTTCACAGATTCTAAAAGAATTATTTATAAAGATTAGCCATGTCCAACCTGCTTTCCTCAATATGTCAGAGGTAGATGCTGGCTTTTGTCTGAAAGTCATGAAGACAGGGAGAGGCTGCTGCTGCTGGGCTGTGGAGACAGGGGAGGAGAGACGTGGTGGAGCTGAGAGGAGTGAAGCATCCCCATCGCGTGTGGTGGAGACACGGGTTTCTAGGGATGGAGACGAGAGGGCACAGGAGGTGCCTGGGCTTGACCTATCCTGCAAGCACTACTCCAATTGAGCTAAAAAGCCTCGGAAAAACAGTTATGAGAAGACTTTACAGAAGAGATGAGTAACAAGATAAGACATTATCACAGGATGTGAGTCAGTATCAAGGGGGAAAACAAGAACTATTCCAAACATGGACATAAGAAAAGCAAAGGGAAAGAGGCAAGAAAAAAATGCTGCCTTCATAGAACCTGCAAGGCGTATTAGGGAGGAATTTCAAATAAAGGCAGGAAAATAAATGCCCTTCAAAAATAAGTGGGGGAATTTGGCCTTATTTGATAAAATCATGGGGGGGATCTTACACCAGGAAGGAAGGTAATGAAACCTGGATGTGAATGGCCTCATTTGGCAATGACATACGGGTAAGTGAGGGTGGGAAATGCAGATGAAGTGGCCAATAAAGTAAGGGACCAGTGAGAACTGTGGCCAGACTTCTGTGGCTCACTGTAAAACAGGAATGCAGGAGGAAGGTGTAATGGCAGCACCATTATATTTCCAGTCACAATCTTAAATGTTCCATTCTCATAGAATATCATCAGGAAGGTCAGCATCTTTTTATACACACACACACATACACACACAAACATGTAAATCAGTAAGGGAATATGAAGCTATGTTGGTAACTATGTGCACAGGGAGAAATGCATATATATTCATATACATGATGGTGAATGAACTATACAGAGACAAATGGATATATATGTATAAAGACACACATACATGGTATAACTACAATCTTCCAGAAAGATCACATACACATGTACTCACTAATAAAATCTATAATAAATGTACATGAGTGTCCTTTCAAGATATCTTTCTTGGCCAGGCGGAGTGGCTCAGGCCTGTTATCCCAGCACTGTGGAAGGCCGAGGCAGACAGATCACTTGAGGTCAGGAGTTCGAGACCAGCCTGGCAAACATGGTGAAACCCCGTCTCTATCAAAAAATACAAACTTTAGTCGGGGGTGGTGGCAGGCGCCTGTAGTCCCAGCTACTCAGGAGGCTGAAGTGGGAGAATCGCTTGAACCTGAAAGATAGAGTTTCAGTGAGTGAAGGTTGCAGTGAGCAGAGATTGCACCACTGCACTCCAGTCTGGGTGACAGAGTGAGAGCCTGTCTCAGAGAAAAAGAAGATATCTTTCTTAAAATATGTGTGTAACAATTTTTATAAAACAAATCACTCTTTTGGTGTTTTGTTAATTAAAGAATATTGATTTATAAAGTAAAAGTTTCATTTATTTTAAAAATGTGAACTATTGCTCTAATCTATCTGTTTAGTAAACTGGCAAATTGAGTAGTAATTTCTGTTAACATAGGCAAACATCTACATATGGGATTGTTTATTCAGACTGTTGCACACAGGATACTCTTTAAAATATATACAAGGAAAAAAGTGGTTTCATTACTATTGATTGAGGATGAGCTCTAAATTACAATTTTCTAACACTTTTTAAACTCCTTTTTTACTTAAGGTTGAGAAAAAAATGTTTTTAAGGCATTTTTGTAGAAATCTTTTTTAAATATTTGAAATGTGTACCTTGAAAGATTATCAATTCGGATTCCATATTTCGTTTCTGTCTCCTTCTTCCCCACCTTAATTTTGAATTCTTTGTCTACCAGCAGGACGAAGGCAATGGCACCGCTGTCTGGTTTCATATACAATAAAAAGGAATCTTTCACTATTAACCATCTGTAAGAAGGTAGTAAGTATTTTTAAAAGTTGCATTGAGTAAATAAAACGAGAAGAACTAATCATTATGACAAGTCTTAAGTAATCACTCTGGCAGACTGTAGACATAATTACATTTTCTACACAGGAGATTTATTTTTTTTAATCGCTATGAAACAAACAAAAAAAACCCAACAAAACCTTTCTATTACGTTTTTCTAAGAAACAGTGTACCAAGTAATTCACAGTAATTCATTAGCTCTTTAAACACTAATGGCAAAACTGGAGGAATGTCCCTAATATTGGCAGGTAGCACTCACAGGATGTACGACAGGAAGGGCAAGACTGAGGAGATGGGATCCATTTACAGTGAATGCAAATGGTAACTTCATCAGGCTGCATATAACAACATGTATTCCTATTTGCCTGCAATTGTAGAGTGATAGACTGAATCATTTGAAAACTGAGAAGTAACAAAGTGGGCATAATAGTGCATACCAGACAAAGTAAAGCACTCTAGGCACTTCCACATTATGGAATAGTAAGGTTGGAACATCTGAATATAAACTAAGTAATACTGTAAATATAGCATGGGAACTCAGTATTTAAAATATATCTATAATAAATCTTTACTGAAATTGGGAATTGCATTATGTTTTAATGGCTTTATAACTTGGAATTTAATGTAGACAGACCTACATTGATTTCCACATAGTTTCATTTCATTAATTTTTTTTTAATACATAAGTTATCTCCTTCCTAATAAAAGGGCATAGAGTGGATTTAGGATAACTTATAGCAAAGAACATATGTGGTATGGTTCAGAAAAGGAAAAACGTCAAGGTCACAGAAAGTAAATACCTAAAATACCTAACCACAAAGGTAAATATAATTACAGAGATGACACACTCATGTGGGTGTAAGCTTCCTAGTTTTTCTTGTCAAATGAATAAATTAAAGAAATAAGTGGATTTCCTCCAAAACTAAATTCCAAACAAAGTTTCTCATTTGGGACCTAACATGATACAACTGAACAACATAATGAATAATATTCCCAATAACAATTTTCAAAGCAAACACAGAAATTATACATTTTATAAGAGTTCTTATAACACTCCTCAATACGAATACCAAGGCTATGATATCAAAGGGTAACCCCGTTTTCCCAGCACTGTTTACTGAAGAGTGTGCACTTTCCCCAAAGAATGTTCTTGATGCCCTCGGAAAAATCAGTAGGCTGTAGATACATGGATTAATATCTGAGTTCTCTATTCTGTTCTACTGGTCATGTGTCTGTTTTTATACCAATACCATACTGTTTTGGTTACTATAGCTTTGTAATATATTTTGAAGTCAGGTAGTGTAATGCCTCTAGCTTTGGTTTGTTTTTTGTTTTTGTTTTTTGCTCAGGATTGCTTTGGCTGTTCAGGGTCTTTTGTTGTTTTATGTGAATTTTAGGATTGTTTTTTCTATTTCTGTGAAAATGTCATTAGTATTTTGATAGGGTTGCACTGAATCTGTAGATTGCTTTGGATAGTATGGTCATTTTAACAGTATTAATTCTTCTGATCCTCTTCAGTTTTTTTTTCATCTGTGTCTTGTAGTTGTTCTTTTTACTAGTCATTAGATATCAAGGTAATTTGATGCTGGGCTTTTATTGAAAGCTCTTCTTTATTATGCCATTCATAAAAACTCCTCTGATTTCTTCCCTTTTTCTTTTTTGTCAATAGATATATTTTTTTCTTTTAACTTTTACTTTGGGTTCAGAGGTACACATACAGGTTTGTTACATAGGGAAACTTGTGTCACAGGGGTTTGGTGTACAGATTGCTTTGTCACCCAGGTACTAAGCATAGTACCTGACAGGCATTTTTTTCTGATCCTTTCCCTCCTCCCACCCCCCACCCTCAAGTAGGCCCTAGTATCTGTTGTTGCCGTCTTTGTGTCCATGAGTTCTCGTTATTTAGCTCCCAGTTATAAGTGAGAACAGGTGGTATTGGGTTTCCTGTTCCTGTGTTAGTTTGCTAAGGACAATGGCCTCCAGCTCCATCCATGTTGCTGCAAAGTACATGATTTCATATGCTGTGGTGTACATGTACTATCCAGTCTACTACAGATGGGTATTTAGGTTGATTCCATGTCTTTGCTATTGTAAATTGTGCTGCAGTGAAAATACACATGCACTGAGTCTTTACAGTAGAATGGTTATAGTCCTCTGGGTATATATCCAATAATGGAATTGCTGGGTTAAATGGTAATACTGTTCTTAGTTCTTTGGGGAATCATCACACTGCTTTCCACAATGGCTGAACTAATTTACGCTCCAACCAGCAGCATATAAGCATTTCCTTTTCTCTGAAACCTCGTCAGCATCTGTTTATTTGTTTGTTTGTTTTTTAATAGCCATTCTGGCTGGTGTGAGATGATATCTCATTGTGGTTTTGATTTGCATTTCTCTAATGATCAGTGATGTTAAGCATTTTTTCAAATGTTTCTTGGCCATATGTATGTCTTCTTTTGAAAAGTGTCTGTTCATGTCCTTTGCCCACTTTTTAATGGAATTTTTTGTTTTTTTGCTTGTAAATTTGTTTAAATTCCTTATAGATACTGGCTATTAGGTCTTTGTCAGAAGCACAGCTTGCAAATATTTTCTCCCATTCTGTAGGTTGTCTGTCTACTCTGTTGATAGTTTCTTTTGCTGTGCAGAAGCTCTTTAGTTTAATTAGATTCCATTCGCCAATTTTTGATTTTGTTGCAATTACTTTTGGTGTCTTCATCATTAAATATTTGCCCGTTCCAATGTCCAGAATGGTATTTCCTAGGTTGTCTTCCAGGGTTTTTATAGTTTTAGGTTTTACATTTAAGTTTCTAAGGGGTCCAGTTTCAATCTTCTGCACATGGCTAGCCAGTTATCCCAGCATCATTTATTAAGGAGGAAGTCCTTTTCCCATTGCTTGTTTTTGTCAGCTTTGTTGAAGATCAGATGGTTGTAGGTGTGCAGTATTATTTCTGGGCTCTATAATTCTGTTCCATTGGTCTATGTGTCTGTTTTCGTACCAGTACTGTACTGTATTGGTTACTGTTGCCCTGTAGTGTAGTTTGGAGTCACGTAACATGATGTCTCCAGCTTTGTTCTTTTTGCTTGGCATTGCCTTGGCTATTCAGGCTCTTTGTTGGTTCCATTTGAATTTTAAAATAGTTTTTTCTAGTTTTGTGAAGAATGTTATTGGTAGTTTGGTGGGAATAGCATTGAATCTGTAGATTGCTTTAGGCAGTATGGCCATTTTAATGATATTGTTTCTTCCTATCCATGAACATGGAATATTTTCCATTTGTTTGTGTCACCTCTCATTTCTTTGAGCAGTATTTTGTAATTCTCATTGTAGAGATCTTTCACCTCCCTAGTCAGCTGAATTCCTAGGTATTTTATTCTTTTTGTGGAAATTGTGAATGGGGTTGCCTCCCTGATTTGACTGGAAAGCAATTCCATTCACAATTGGCTTGATTGTTGTTGGTGTATAGAAATGCTAGTGATTTTTCTACATTGATTTTGTATCCTGAAACATTGCTGAAGATGTATATCAGCTCAAGGAGTTTTTGGGCAAAGACTGTGGAGTTTTCTAGATATAGAATCATGTCATCTGCAAATAGGAATAGTTTGACTTCCTCTTTTGCTATTTGGATGCCTTTTATTTCTTTCTCTTGCCTCATTGCTCTGGCCAGGACTTCCAATACTATGTTGAATAGGAGTGGTGAGAGAGGGCATCCTTGTCTTGGGCCAGTTTTCAAGGGGAATACTTCCAGCTCTTGTCCAGTCAGTATGATGTTGGCTGTGGGTTTGTCATAGATGGCTCTTATTATTTTGGAGTATGTTCCTTCAATGTGTAGTTTATTGAGGGTTGTTAAAATGAAGGATGTTGAATTCTATCAAAAGTCTTTCCTGCATCTATTGAGATAATCAGGTAGTTTTTATCTTTAGTTCTGTTTATGTGATGAATCACATTTATCAATTTGCATATGTTGAACCATATAGAGAAGATTCAAAACCAAACAGAGAAGATTCAAATAAACACAATTAGAAATGACAAAGAGGACATTACCATTGATCCCACAGAAATACAAGTAACTGTCAGAGACTACTATGAACAACTCTATGCACATAAACTAGAAAATCTACAAGAAACAGATAAATTCCCAGACACATACATCCCCCTCAAGACTGAACCAGGAAGAGACTGAATCCTTAAGTGGACCAATAATCAGCTCTGAATTAGAATCAGTAATAAATAGCCTACCAACCAAAATACAAAAACAAAGACAAAAAGCCCAGGACCAGGCGGATTCACACTCAAATTCTATAAGACGTACAAAGAAGAGCTAGTACCGTTCCTACTGAAACTACTCTAAACAATTGAGGAGGAAGAACTACTACCCGACTCATTCTATGAGGCCAGCATCATCCTAACACCAAAACCTGGCAGAGACACAACAAAAAGAGGAGACTTCAGGCCAATATCCTTTATGAACATAGATGCAGAGCATCTCAACAAGATTTTGCTTTCTTTCTCAGGAATATATAAATCAAGTAAGGCATCTATCAACCAGCCTTCTAGGAGTCAGCACCATCTGCACAGGGATCAAGTGCCTGCCCTGAAGTCAGCCTCCCTGGGCTCCAATTCCACCTGCCACTCACTGCTTGTAAGAACTTCAGTAATTGAGCATGATGTCAAAATCTATAACATGAGGATAACATAAGACATATAACATGAGGACCTAACAGCAACATCTAGTTCATAAGTATTCATAAAGAATTAACTGAGATAACTCATGCACATGCTTAGCACAGTGCCTGGCCCCAATACATGCGAACTATTATAACTAATCTTGTTCTAAACCATGTGAGATTACCGTCTGTTTTAAAAAGATACCTCCTGCCTGTGTTACTACTTGCCATGGCATTCAAATGCAGATAAGCCCACTTGAGCCAGCCCTCCCCTTCTCAGCCTCATCTACTATTGTCTCTCACAATGTTAGTCAATGTTGGTTCTTCTTTAGACTTGCCAGTCTTCTTCTTTGGGCTCTATCGTTGCTGTTCCTCTGCGTAAAAACTGTTTCTTCTAGGCAATTCCATGGATGGTCTCTTCTTGTCAATCAAACCTCTCCTTAAAAATCCCTCTACAAGCAGGCTACTGGATTCAAAAAAAAGCTGTTCTCCACCATCCCTGCCTCATCACCCCCAACTCTCCTCCATCATGTTGTCTTGATTTAGCTTCTTTGTAGCACATCTGGAAGTATTTGTCTTCTTGTTTATTGTCTGTCTCCTACAGTACAGCGTAAGGTCCCTGGGAACAGGAAATGTGGCTGTCATGTCTACTACTATCTGTTCAATGCCTAGAACTATCTTCTAGCAGCCCAGAGCAAGCTTTCAGGCAAGGCCACCATCTCGCCTAAATAATGGCTGCATGAATGGATTCCAGAGAGTAAATAAAACCATTTAGACACTATCACTGTCTAAAAATTTTAATTATTGGCACAGCTCATAGTTCACTAAAGTAAACACTAAGTAAGAAAGTGCTAAGGAATTAAAAGTAATGGCAAAAACCACAATTACTTTTGTACCACCCTAATAAATGCTAAATTTATTTGTTAACGTCTATACATCTCTTTTTCTTAAGACATTATTTGACATAAGAAACTTAACTTACGACCAGGTGCAGAGAAGTTTCTCAATAAATGTGCTGTTTAAGCAGATGTTTTAGATTGTAGGATCTCTGTTTGTCTTTTTTTAAAACTCATCTCTCAGATAAGGTCATTATGAGACCTAACTGAAAATTCAATTTCCTTGTTTGCCTTACTACAATTTGTCAACGTAGAATAAATTAACAAGTGATCAGAATGTATTTTTATGGGTACAAATGAAAAAAAGTTATGAAGGAGTGTCATCTTTAAAAGTAAGTCTCATTTAGACATTAATAAAATAGTCGTCTTGGCCAGGTGCTGTGCCTCCCGCCTGTAATCCCAGCACTTTGGAAGGCCAAGGTGGGCAGATCACTTGAGCTCAGGAGTTCAAGACCAGCCTGGGCAATATGGTAAAACCCCATCTTTACAAAAAATACAAAATTTATCCAGGTGCGGTGGTATGCACCTGTATCCCTGCTATCTAGGGGGCTGAGGTGGGAGGATCGCTTGAGCTCAGGAGGTCGAGGCTGCAGTGAGCCGAGATCATACCACTGCACTCCAGCCTTGGTGACAAGGTGAGACCCTGTCTCAAAAAAAAAAAAAAAAAAAAGGCCGGGCGCGGTGGCTCACGCTTGTAATCCCAACACTTTGGGAGCCGAGGCGGGCGGATCACGAGGTTAGGAGATTGAGACCACAGTGAAACCCCGTCTCTACTAAAAATACAAAAAATTAGCCGGGCGTCATGCCGGGCGCCTGTAGTCCCAGCTACTCGGAGAGCCTGAGGCAGGAGAACGGCATGAATCTGGGAGGCGGAGCTTGCAGTGAGCGGAGATCAGGCCGCTGCACTCCAGCCTAGGCGACAGAGCAAGACTCCGTCTCAAAAAAAAAAAAAAGTCTTCCACTGTGAGAAACTTTCTAAATTATATGTTATCATCTATATATGCTTTCTGGTATTTTAAATCCCAAAAATGTGACTCAGGAAATATTTATTAATATGGAACCAGGGCTTTAATCTTCACAGAATGATTTACACAATTTACAGTGATGACACATTTCATTCCAGGGAGGATCGTATCTTTTTAGATTGTCCCAGTTGACTTATGATTTAATCCAAAGTTTAAAAAGAGGGGGCATATTTATTTTGTGTAACAAAGCCTTTCCCTCACCTTTCCTAGCTGTTGCTTCTCATAAGGGTTAAATCCAAACGTCAGTTTTTCAGGGAGCCTTTCCTTGACTCCCAGAGCTAAAGTCACCCTCTGCAATCCCCAGATCCCTCACAAACCATTTTTCCCCTTTAAAGCTCTCATCGCTACCTGAATTTATACAATTTACATTAATTGTCGGCTTAGTGCCTGCATTTCCCCTCTAACAGAACTCCATGAGGGCAGAGACTTCATCTTGTTCACTACTGTTTTCACAGGAGTATGCCACCATCTGGCATACATTAGGCACTCGAAAAATGACTGAATAAACCAGACCATGGCTTCCATTCCTTGAGTAGACGCCTTAGGTTGGGTTGTCCCAGAAGTAAACTCTGAGATACGGATATACGTGTATAAAAGAGTTTAAGACAGTGGCACCAGGAAGCACCAATTAGGGAAGGATAGAAAGAAAGAGCAAGGAAGGAAGCCACAGAGAGTGTATTTTCATGCTTTTTATTGTGGGCAGCTGTGCTGTAAGCCAGCTAAGGAGTTCTGGGAGACAGTGTAGAGACTGCTGCAGAGTCACCCCAACTGAGGAGGATGGGGCTGGACTCCGATCAGTTCTTGGCTGATGGCTGCTCCTGGGAGCTGTTGACACTTCCCAGACTGCTGTGCACACAGACAGGTGGGTTCTGACAGCCTACAGAATTTTTGGTCAAAGAATCACAAATGCTTAAGGTTACAGTCTGAAAACTGTGGTTGGCATGTAGCAGCTGATTTGGGCAAAGTTAACGACTAGGGAGGAGTGGTCAGAAGGAATCCCCAAGTTTCTAAAAGTTAGAGAAGTGTATTTGAAGGCAAATACTTTTTTTAGTATATTATTTCCCTTCTTATTTTAGTAAAACTTCTCTCCCAGCGACAGATCAAGACTCCATCTCAGAAAAAAAAAAAGAAAAAAAACTTTTTTCCCTTACAAAAATTTTCAGTTTTCTTTAGTTTAATCTTCTGATCTTTTCCTTGTAATTTCTTCTGTCCCTTCAAATCCCAGAAAGTAAAGGCCCAGCTTAATGGTATTTTTTTGTTGGTAGTATATCTTAAATCGGTGTGTGTAAAGGTGGATGCCAGTATTAATTTTATATATTTTGAATATACACATAGCTCAATTCCACATTTAAACATAAACACATTTATCATTTTCAATTTGGGGGAAATATTATATACAGATATAAAATATTTATAATTGATTTCTTCAGTGTTTTAATAGTTTTTCAAAATCCCAGTACATTGTTATTGCAACAGTTACTGTCTATTATGTGCCAAACTTGGGGGATACAGATAAGAATCAGATGAGAATATTGTTCCTCAAGGAGTTTTTAGTTGGTAAGACGTAAGATATAAAATAATGTTTTCTGTCTATATTACGCTTACCATGATAAACATTTTTCAGAAATATAAGTGTAAAATTATCATCCCTGAAGTCTGCACAATTTTACTTAAGTTTTTGTTAAAGTGTACAGTTCAGTTTGATTTTTGGTATATTCACAAAGTTGTATAACCATCACCACTATCTAGTTCCAAAATATCTTCATTGGCCCAAAAATAAACCCCATACCAGTATCAAATTAGTAGAAAGCAACCTCCTTCCCATTCCCTGGAAACCCTTTATCTACTTCCGTCTCTACAGATTTGTCTATTCTGAAAATTTCTTATAAATAAGAATGATAAAACATGTGCCTTTTTGTATCTGGATGTTTTCATTTATCCTGTTTTCAAGGTTCATCCACATTGTAGCATGTATCAGAACTTCATATCCTTTTCCATTTAATTTTTAGATTTTTATTCAGATGTAATTCACATATCATAAAACGTACCTTTTAAAAGTTCACAATGCGATGGTTTTTAGCATATTGACAGAGTTGTGCAACCGGCACTACCGTCTTATTTCAGAATATTTTCATCACCCCATAAAGAAACTCCATGACCATGAATGGTCTTCATTTCTCTTTTTTTAATGTATTTTTAATTTCTGTGGGTACATAGTAGGTTTATATATTTATGGGGTATATGAGATACTTTGATACAAGCATATAATGTGTAATAATAACATCAGGATAAATGGGGTATCCATCACCTCAAGCATTATCCTTTATGTTACAAACAACTCATACTCTTTTATAGTTATTGTAAAACATACAATTAAATTAGTATTGACTATAGTCACCTGTTGTGCTATCAAATACTAGATCTTAATTATCCTATTTGTTTGTATCCATTAACCATCCCCACTATCCCCCTCCACACTGCCTTTCCCAGCCTCTGATAAAATCTCCATGAGTTCAGTTGTTTTAATTTTTAGCTCCTACTAGTAACTGAGAACATGTGAAGATTGTCTTTCTGTGCCTGGCTTATTTAACTAAACATAATGACCTCTAGATCCATCCATGTTGCAATGACGGGATCTCATTCTTTTCTATGGCTGGATAGTACCCCATCATGTGTATGTACATTTTCTTTATCCATTCATCTGTTGATGAACACCTGGGTTGCTTCCAAATCTTGGCTATTGTGAATAGTGCTTCAACACAGATGGAAGTGCAGATATATCTTTGATATACTGATTTCCTTCTTTTGGGTATATACCTAGACGTGGAACTGCTAGATCATATGGTAGCTCTATTTTGAGTTTTTTGAGGAACCTCCAAACTGTTCTCCGTAGTCGTCGTACTAATTTACATTCCCATCAACAGTGTATGAGGGTTCCCTTTTCTCCACATCCTCACCAGTATGTTATTGCCTGTCTTTTTGATAAAAGCCATTTTAACTGGGGTGAGATGATATCTCATTGTAGTTTTCATTTGCATTTCTCTGATGATCAATGATATTGAGCACCTTTTCATACACCTGTTTGCCATTGGTATGTTTTCTTTCAAGAAACGTATATTCAGATCTTTTGTCCATTTTTAAATCAGATTATTAGATTTTTTTCCTATAGAGTTCTTTCTGGTTGTTAATCCCTTATCAGATAGGTAGTTTGTAGGTATTTTCTCCCATTCTGTGGTTTATCTCTTCACTTTGTTGACTGTTTCCTTTGCTGTGCAGAAGCTTTTTAACTTGATGTGATTTATTCCTTTTATGGCTGGATAATATTCCACTCTATAGGAATACCACATTTTGTTTATCCATTCATCAATTGATGAACATTAGAATTGTTTCCACTTGTAAGGCTATTATCCATAATACTGCTATTATAATACTGCTATAGAAAAGTTCTATTGTAGACATATTTTTTCAGTTCTCCTAGGTGAATCCCTGGAATTGCTGGGACATGTGGTAACTATGTTTAACAGTTTAAAGAACTGCCAGACTGTTTTCCAAAGTGGCTGCACCATTTTACATTTCCATTAACAATATCTGCGGTTTCTCTACAGAAAATATTCTAGTTTCTCTACACCCTCACCACCATTTGTTATTGTCCATCTCTTTGATTATAGCCATCCTTATGGGTGTGAAATTGTATCTCATTGTGGATTTGACTTACATTTCCATAATGACTAATAACGTTGAGCATCTTTTCGTATACTTATTGGCCATTTGTACGTCTTCTTTGGCTGGCCAATTTGTGCGTTCTTTGTCCTTGGGTTTTCATGAATATAATCTGTACACTTTGCCTACAAGTTCAGCTTTGGGTAGAATATTTAAATGGATGCTGGAATTTGGATTTTAAAATATAATTAAAAATTTGTTCTGCCATTGCTTTTAAAGGATTTATAATTTAAAACTGGTATGTAAAACTAGCCCAAATACCCAGTGTATTAAAACAAACAAATACACAAAACTCACTAATTCCTACCTTTTTGACCATCTGTAGCAGGCTCTTCCCTGACCACAGCAATTCAAGCCTGGTATTCTGTGTCCTCCAGATCTTTTCATTATCATACCTTCTCTGAAAGAGACAGAAAATTAACCCATCACCTTCAAATTTCCCACTCCCACTTAGCTCGTACAGCCTCCCAACATGGGACTAAATAAACCATCTCATTCTCACATGACTTTCCTCCCTACTCTCTCCTCCTCGCTCTCAACTAGCTCAGTGCCCTGTTAGGCCGGGTACCCTAGAGGCGAACCCTAAAATACACTGGTGAGATATAGCCCCTTCAGCATTCGGGGCAGTGTGATTCTGTTGTGCACTACACAGGACCTTAAGCATCCTGTCTCCTGGCTCTAAATGTTGAGTGTTCCCGTTAACTCGTCATTAATGGGTGCAGCACACCAACATGGCACATGTATACATATGTAACAAACCCGCACGTTGTGCACATGTACCCTAGAACTTAAAGTATAATAAATATATATAAATATAAAAAAATGTTGAGTGTTCCCTCCTCAACATTGTGACACTGTGACAAACTAAAAAAGACTCCATGCATTTCCACATGCCTGCACAGGGATGGTCCACCTGCTGTTGAGACCATGGTGCATCTCACCCACAGATTCCAGGACATCTCTGTGTCTCTTCACACCCAGTTCTAGCAAACTAGTTGAGCTAGTTGAGCCATGCCAAAGGAAGCAGAGCACAGCTACTAGTTTTGAAAACAGTATATCTTAATTCTGAAAAATTTGACAAGAAAAAGCAATAACAAAGGCTAAACTTTAAAAAAAACTTTTTTTGAAACAACTACTAACAATGCTCTTAACTAGAACTTGAAAGTTAAGCTCTTTATGTTTTCAAGCTCTAATATTGTGAAGGAAAATTATAAACTTTCATCTGGCTATAAAACATATTTTACATAGTATTATTTTAAAATAATCATCAAAATGAGTAGTAAACATTTAACTTTATAAGGGATTGTAAAAGGAGATCTTATATATTTGATTTTTAATGTATTCTCCTACACATCAGACTTGCTATAGGTATTGAACACTTCCACTGTTGGGTTAGAAAGAATCTGTGCTGTAAGCACGTGACAAAGACAGTGGAGCAGTTGCTACCGTTGTTTATCACAGGAGATGCTCTGATTTGTATGAATAATTCCATCAGTTGCTCTAACTACTGGGGAGAAGAGAAGCTAGCAGTAAAGCCAGGAGGACTCCATCACCATGGCATGCTGCTACGTTAAGTGTGAATGCAAATCAATTTTTCATACTTCTCTTTTAAGGTTTATTGCAACTTACATGCCCTTTGGTCCCAAATCATGGATGAAAGACAGCTGGCTTATATCAAGAAACTCTGTCTGAAAAGAAGCAAAAAATCCATCTTTAGCAAGCAAAACAATTCAAATTTATGCATTAAAAAACATGTATTAGGTATAGCTGTGTGTATATACTGTTTGGTGTGCTCCACAGACTACACAGATCAATAATAATGGCATTGCACTAAAAGAGTGCAGATTAGGAGTATATAAACAATGAAGACACATCCTACTAGATCTTCTAAATCTGAAGAGAGAGATGTGTGCCTTAATACATAGAGATAAAATGCTCAAGAAGCTTGGAGAGAGAGAGAGAGAGAGTTTATTCTCAATATTCTTTCATGTTTGTTTTTGTTGCACGGGATGGATATTGTGTGGCACAGTGTACACTCAAACAATAAAAGAATGTGAGAAGCAAGTGATATTGGTGCAGGATCTGGAAGATGGACTGGATTTGGGCCCACAGTGTGAAATGGGAGATGAATGGGGGGCTAGAACAGAAGGTCAAAAAGGTTATAGGATGTACAGTTGGGTTACAGTGAATAAGATGAAGGAAAAGAATAAAAAATTAAACAGGCTGAAAAGAGAATGGGGAGGGCTTTGAACATCAGGCATAATGAAAAGAATTATTTTTAATGAGTTGAAGAGGAAGAGAATTTTAGGCCCACCTTCACTGTATTAGAAGGTTAAAAACTGTAAATATTATAACAACAACTGTGGCTGTGTTTACTGAGTGCTAACTATGAGTTGGTGTTATGCTAACCATTTTTCATGCATTATCTCAAACCCCTTTGAAGCAGGTGCTACTTTTCCCATTGTACAGAAGACGAAACTGAGGTTTAGTGTAAGGGTAAGCAAATATTTTCTGCAAAGAGCCAGACAGTAAATATTTTGGGCTTTGTGGGCATACATTCCATTTTGCATCTACTTCGCTCTGCTGTTGTAGCACGGAAATAGCCATAGACGCATACATAAACGAATAACTGTGGCTGTGTTCCAATAAAACCTTATTTATGGATATAAAATATGAAGATAATCTAATTTTATGTGTCACAAAATATTATTCTTTTGATTTTTTTTCAACCACTTAAAAATATAAAAACTATTCTTAGTTCACAGAACATACAAAAACAGGCAATGGGCAATGGGCAGGATTTGGTCCACGGGCCCTAGTTTGCAGGCCTCTGTTTTAGAGAAGTCAAGTAAGTTGTCCAAGATCACATAGTTAAGAAGGGATTAACTCAGTATGGTTAACTCATTATGAAGTCAGACCAAAGTCAGCGCCCTCAAAACCAAGCTGGAAGAGCAAAATGTCATTCAACATTTATCTAATTCAAATTGAGTTCCTTGCATATTCTAGGTAGGTGAAAGCTAGATGTAAATGTGGAGGCATAGAAGGGAAAAACAAATCAACATTACATAATGTTTAGCATATGCAGATTTGCAGATCGTTTTGAAAAGTGACCAACAATAAGATCAGTTCCTTAGGCCATGTCAATAGCAGCCTTGATAGACCAACAAAGACTAAAAAGATACTCTCCCAGCATTAGGAAGCAGACGGGAGACCAGATATGGAAAACACTACCCTCAATGAAGTTCTGTGGGATGAACCACACTAGATACATGTGAAAGTAGTTACAGAGTTATAGAATAGTGGAGGGCAACCACTTCCCAGCTGACATGACATCACAGAGGCAGGGGCATTTGATCTAGGTTTGTAAATGGGATTAGTAAAACAAAAGTTTTCCATGTAAGTTTTATATGTGATTGGACATATCTAACACTACTCTTGTAAAAAAAAATTACAAATATCTCAAGGCGTCCATCCTTGTAAGGTTCATTTAAATGCTTGCATTTTTCTCTTTTCTTGGGGTTATTTGCAGAAAATAGGTCTTTAAAATTCAAAAGGACTTAAATATCTTTTTAAAATCCTAAGTCAAAGGTATCTTCATACAGCATTTTTTAAATTGAGAATTTAAAAAGTCAAGGTCTCAGTCAGGCATAGTGGCTCACGCCTGTAATCCCAGCATTTTGGAAGGCTGAGGTGGGTGGATCACTTGAGGTCAAGAGTTCAAGACCAGCCTGGCCAACATGGCAAAACCCCATCTCTACTAAAAATACAAAAATTAGCCAGGTGTGGTGGTGCATGCCCGTAATCCCAGCTACTCAGGAGGCAGAGGCTGAGGCAGGAGAATCACTTGAACCCGGGAGGCAGAGGTTGCAGTGAGCGGAGATCGTGCCCCTGCACTCCAGCCTGGGCAACACAGCAGGACTGTCTCAAAAACAAACAAACAAACAAAAAACACCTCAAGGTCTTTACATTTCATTTCTTATATAAAACAGTGATTCAGTATCATGCATTTTTATCTGGTTTGTGAAAATGCTTCTTAATTGGAAAAGGTAATCCTATGGGTTATTGGAAATGATTCACAGATTGCCAGCCATAAAATCCAAAATATTTTAAAATCCTGAGTCATAACTTTTATCTCTGGAGAGCAGACAAATAATGTCAGTCCTAGTTTACATTTGAAGACTATAGTCTACTACAGAGGCATAACTAACTTATGCAAAGTCCCAGAACAACCGAAGGGAAGAATAGGAAATGAAAACAAAAATCAAGGAAGCCACTAATCTAATGCCTGGATATTTTCTTATTTACATAGCTGTTATCATCAAATAGTTGACAACAGAAATATTCTCTGAAATCATTCAGAAATCATAACTTTTGGAGTATATCATAACAAAATTGCTAAGCGTAAAGAATCTCAGCTAAGTAGACACATTAATAATGTAGAAAATTGAAAGTTACACATTAATATGAAATTTAATTTATCCTAATGGCTTAGTAAAGTTTGACTGGAGAGAGATTTCCAGAAGGAACCAGGCCTATTATACAGAAAAAAAAATCTGGCAATAAACGTTTTTCTAATACAGAGTTATCAAATTGAAAGTAAATGTGTCAGGGTCAACTGAGAGGCAAACCTAACTAATAAAAATTGAAATTTAACAAAGATGATGTTGTCCAAACTTCTTAGTACATCTTCAGTGATAAGAATTCCATTATCCATTTGGGCAAGTGATTCTCAGGAATAAGAATTTAAAGATCAATTTAGCCTAACGGCATTTCGCAGGGCTTATTCCATTGATCTTTTGAGTAATGTATAATCAATACCTTTTTGTCTTTGTTTTTTTGGCAAAGGAATTTGTAAAATATGAATACAATTGAAATAATGTTGCAATGCAATAATGTTCTTGGCACTAGGTGGAAAGTGGTCTCAAGTAAAAAATTCCAACATGATCTACCAATTGGATACTAAAAACGTTAGAGAAACAGAGAAGCAAAAATATTTCCATGCCAAGAGACAAGCAACAAGCCCTAGGGGTAACAAAAAATCCTGAAAATTACTTGGCAATCACGTACACACTGCCCCTTCCACCCATCCTTGTATTGTAAGAGAAGGGTGACTTTCAGAGGCTCCTTTTATTTACCAGGTAGCAAAAACTCAAGTAAATGGCCAGGTGGGAAATTATCAGATACAAGGAAGGTAAGAGCATTGAGTTGGGCAATGTCCTTGTAGACTCAGGTACTCCAGGAAAGGCAGGGAACAAAGAGGACATCTAATCTATGAAGGAAACTGGGAGGCTGGGCAAAGGCCTAAAGTCCTTCTCAACGCTAAGACTCAATCATAAGAAAGAAAATATTTCCCTTAATTTGAAGATGCAGCTGTTCAAATTAGTATAGCTTTTCCCTGTTGGAATGAAAACACTGTGTGCACGTTTATTCTTTACCTACTCTTCCCCTCAAGTTAAAGTTCATTCTACAAAACAAGGGAGAGGTGAACTCAGTATTATTGATCTGTGGGATGTTTTACCCAAGGATTTCAAGCTAATCACCTTCTTGGGGATAAGAAATCTGAGTCACATAAGTTAAATGATTTACTTCAAGGTAGAGATACGATCCTATCACCTTAGGGCCCTTCTCTTGGAAATTGTACAATTTGTTCCATTTCTAGATTTTAATCTCAGGTATGAAAAAGGTACATTTATTGCTCCTTATTCCTCTGATTTTAATTCCCTGGAAGATAAGCATTTTCCAGTTACTAATTAAAATGCCTAGCTAGTGAGTTCTCTACTACAGCCAGCACTAATACAATTTCAGAATACAAAAGGAATTCTTGTTTGAGATTTTTTTGTATGTTATTACACAACTCAGATATTGCTATTTTTTTACATATTTATGCTTAGGGTAAAGAGGAAATACATTTGTCCCCATTTTACAAATGAGCAAAGAAAACTGAACAAATCACCAATGGTCTCTGAGGCAACTGTCTGATCATGACTACACTAAAACACTAGGATGCTCTCCTTTGCAGAACCACAAGAAGGAAAAAAAAAAAAAGAATTAAAAGCAGAGGAAGTCTTCATAATCATGGGAGAGAAGGTCTGAGCACAAACCCAACCAATGGCTGTATAAAAGTGAGAGGAAAGAACTGTCCATGTCTAATTTCAGAGGCTACTTAAGAAAAATAATGTCAGTGCTTAGAACCCTAAACCAAATTCCTTTGGGGAAAATCCTATTATACAAACACCTTTATAATAAATCTATCTCCACTTTTTTTTTTTTGGCAGAGTCTTCCTCTATAACCCAGGCTGGAGTGCAGTGGCGCAACTGTGGCTCGCTGCAACCTCCGCCTCCCGGGTTCAAGCGATTCTTCTGTCTCAGCCTCCCAAGTAGCTGGGATTAAAGGCGCCCACCACCACGCCTAGCTAATGTTTGTATTTTTAGTAGAGATGAGGTTTCACCATGTTGTCCAGGCTGGTCTCGAACTCCTGACCTCAGGTTATCCACCTGCCTTGGCCTCCCAAAATGCTGGGATTGCAGGCATGAGCCACTGCGCCCAGCCCTGTCTCCACTTTTTAAAGTGGTCTAACTTTACCAAGACATTTCTAAGCTGATCATAGCATTTTAGTTTAGTTCTCAAACTCCTGATGATAAGAATCACTTGAGCTATTTGTTAAACACACTTATTCCAAATACAGATCTGGATGGCCCTATAGAGATTAAGAACATATCCTATTCAGTCCCTTGACCTATGATCCATGATTCTATCTGCTTATGGACCTGAATTAACTTAAAATAGGTTTGTTTTATACTTATAAAAGTATAAATTTATTATATACATGTTAAAATAACTTTTAATATGCTTTTTACAGACAGTAAAGCATTTTTTAACAGATACTTTTTTAGTATTTCTCACAATTATTGAAGAAAACATGTAAATTCCAATCTCATTTCACAAATATGAGGCAGAGGTCTACAGATCTAGTCTTTAGGCCAGACTACATTTAAAGAAAAAGAATGTTAGAGAATTAATGTATATCAAATTGTATCCTATGCTTGAATCATATTGAACAATTCAGCTGTTGGAGAGAATAATCTCAGTAACCATCGAAAATGAGAGGGAGGCTGGGCACGGTGGCTCACGCCTGTAATCTCAGCACTTTGGGAGGCAGAGGCGGGCGGATCACAAGGTCAAGGGATCGAAATCATCCTGGCCAACATGGTGAAACCTCGTCTCTACTAAAAATACAAAAATTTGCTGTAATCCCACCTGTAGTCCCAGCTACTTGGGAGGCTGAGGCAGGGGAATCACTTGAACCCGGGAGGCGGCGGTTGCAGTGAGCCGAGATCATGCCACTGCACTCCAGCCTGGGAAACAGAGCAAGACTCCATCCCAAAAAAGAAAAAAAAAAGAAAATGAGAGGAGAATCTATTCACAGTCAGTTGCTAATGAGGCTTTCCCTTCCAAAGGAAATGTTTACAGGTCACTCTGGGATTTCTAAATACAACATGGCCTAACTTTGAAAATATTTTTATGACTGGAAAAGTCATTAAAAAGAACACTTTTTAAATCTAAACATTCTTTAGTCAACAGTAGAATCCCAAATGTAGAAAAGTACATGAAAAGAGAAGAATGAACTCACCAAGAATGGTTACAGCCAAAAGAAATAGTAAAAGTAAAGTCACAGGCAGGCAGAAAAGTAAAAGAAATGGAAAATTATTGCATATGGATACTAATACACATTTAAATAGTTGTCTGTTAAAGAAAATAGCATGTCGGATTTCAGACAACACAACAGGAGGTATCATTTTTATTAACAATAGTAGTAGTATCCTTATTCATTGTTATTTCAACAATACAAGTTCCTGAGTCCTAGAAGAAAAGAAACCCCTGCCTCCCATCATCCTTCTCTTGAGATCCTCTGGTGCAACCCAAATTCCTGTTTTCCTGAGAAAACCCTTCTCCAGGTTTATGAAGACATAGAAGCTCCCTCAAGTCCATTGAATGCCCCAGTGCAAGCTGCTGCTGGAGGCAGGTAGTGACCTGGATCCAGGTCACCTGTGTGTAATGGGACAGCTGGATGTATATTTGGACCAGACTCCAAACCATGTGCTGCAAGGCAGCAGGAAGGCAGCTCCTGTCATGAGAAACTCGCAGAGCCAAATGCTCTTGCATCCTCTCCAAAATACACTAAAGTCTTTACTGTTTCAGTTTATGTGTTTATGTGATGCCATTCTCTAAACTAGCGGACAAATCACAATTGCACCAACTCTAGAGTTCTGCACATATATAATATAGATGCATACAGCCCCCATAACCATACAATTCATACAAATGCATACATACATACGATAAACCATGCATTCTCAGTTATCCAGGCCTCTGAATAATTGAAGGCTAAACCTTTAAAAACACCCCACCTTTAATAGTGCAGAGCTACTTGTTTGCTGACACTAGAAAACCCACTCCCTCCCTGCTTGCCAGCTGCATACCCCAAGCTTAATCTCTGTGGCTGCATCTAAGCCCCATCGCCTCTTCTTTCTTTACTTGGATTCCTCAAGGGTTTTTTCTTTCCTAGCTTTTCTCATGCTTCTCACTTTCACATGAAAAGACATGCCTTTAACAGGCATGACAAACCAATCAGATGGCAATCGCCCTACGCACCACAAAATCTTCAGGCATTCAACTCCACTCAACTGTTTTCATCACTTACTACTCAACAGTTACTCTTTGTAGCTAAAAAATGCTTTTTGGCATTATCCTGGAAACCTGAGAAGAGAAGAAGGTTGATTTCTAGATAATCTAGCCTATAGCAGGATTTCAAGTTCATTTAAATCTATTGTTATAGACATATTAAGTTCTACTCAACTTTTTAAAACAGCGTCACACCACTGTAAACTGGATCCTTGCTGTAAAATCAACTTTGTATTCACTTAATTTATTTTAATGCAAGGACGAATGTAGGTGTGGATACAATCACTTGTGTTATTAAAATGATCCAAAATTTAGCTGACAATTTACTATAGTGAAAATTACTCCAAACTTAAATCACTGACTAGTACTTACTGTGGCATGATAGTTTCTATACATGGGCATTTTTAGTATCTTTGTCAAGTAATCTTCCAGTTGTTTCTGTAATGCAAATATTTTAGATAAGTGTTAACATGGTCATATTTATTTTTAAAAATTAAACAGTAGTGACAATGATGAGATCATCATTTTCATCTTAACTTCTACAAGTTATTCAATTATTTATTAATATAATCATGGAGCAAGGAATCCTGAATAGCATTAAGGTGTTATTTCCATATTTCTCTTGAACTATTATTTAAATATCTTCTTACTGTTTAACTTTCCATATGCTTAGGTCTTCTATAAACTGCTGACAAGCCCTATTATATGTATATAGCTATTATAGCAGGACTTGCTATAAGTTGTTTTAAAGCATTTGTTGATATTACCAAAAACTTTCATTTTTTTTTCAATTCTAACACTGAACTTACTGAAAGATACACTACAAATTTTAAACAGCTTTTCAGGAAACAAAGGTGGAGAAAGGTTAAAAGACTTTCTAGTAGAATGTACTGATTTTAAATATGCTAAACTGTGTGTGGAGGCAGCAGGGGAGTAGAGGGATATAGGCTTGGGGCACTGGAGCAACATATGTCAATCATATTGACCATGATGTAAAATCCAGCATGCTTTTGCTGAATCACTAAGTGTCATTTTCAGTTGAATTCATACATGTGCACACAGTAAACCAAAACTATATAATTTTATATGTCTAGGTATCTTGGAAAATATTTGGTCCAGATGCCTACAAAGATTTTAAACAAGATGACAACTACAAAGGAGAAATCAAACATTCCCTCTGGAACATAAACATTTCAGATTACAAAACAGAACTGACAGAAATTAACAAACACTTGTTCATTTTCTAGTAAAAAAAATTAATTGTCCACACTCTGCAGCACCCATCTTGGAAGCAGAGCAGGCAGAAGTGCCCCTCCTCTGGAGTTTTCTGTCCCAGTGCTGTGCCTGTCTGTACTCCGTCAGACTCTTCTCAGGCCCTAACTGCTCCATCTATAGTTTAGGAATGAGATTTTACATATATTTAAGATGGGCTATTACAAACACGGAAACTTATGTATGGAAAATATTATTTTAAAAGAGTAGATCTCAAAACCCACAACAATGAGTTCAATCTTTGACTCACAATAAGCCCAAGGAGATTCTAGCAGGGAGAACAGCTTCTTCATAATGTCAAGGCCTAACCAAGAACGCTCTTCCTCTTCTGAGAAAATGCACTGTATGGCTTGGGGAAAGAAGGGACTGCCTAACTAGTTCCAGAAAAGCTAAACCAGCCTGGGGATCAATGAGTGGATGAGAGGAGTTGTAGCCAGGCCTACTTCACCCCTCAGTAGATGCTGTGTTTCTACAGCACTGCAAAATTAGGTTTAAAACCACAGAATAGTGAAGAAACTTACTCTTCTACCAAGGAATTGTTCTTCTCTTATCATGTTTTCAGATGAACGGGGCAAACTGGGCATCTCTCGAGGCTCCTCTCTGACGTTTTGCCTCCTAAACGTGTGTCTAAAACACAAACACACAGAATGCAAACACCTACTAGATTATTCTGTGACTATGACTTTAGTATGTCTTTCATGAGACGGCATATTTTTAAGAGACTATTTAATTGAAAATATCTACCAACAATAGACTAGTTAGCCGATATTGTGAATTAAATACACTTTTTATTTATTTATTTTAAAGATTGGATGTACTCTGTCACCCAGGATGGAGTGCAGTGGTACAATCATGCTCACTGCAGTTTTAAACTCTTGGGCTCAAGCAATCCTCCTGTTGTAGCCTCCTGAGTAGGTAGAACTACTAACTATCACCACGTGCCACCACGTCCAGCTAAATTTTTAATTTTTTTATAGGGAGGAGGTCTTGCTACGTTACACAGGCTAGTCTCAAACTCATGACCTCAACTGATCCTCCTGCCTCAGCCTCCCAAAGTGGTGAGATTACAGGTGTGAGCTACCACACCCAGACAAAATACACTTTCCATTCAACTTGTATACTGGCATAATTAATTCCAAAATGGTTACCTTCTAGTGGGAATGGGGATGCGGATAAAGGCTTTGTACTTGAGCAGCTCTCTGTGAAATTCTTGAAAATGCTTGAATTTCCTCTTAACTTGCCATTTAAATTCCCCATGTGTTAATTCAATAGTGTAAAGATTAATACTTGGTACCTACAGTGATACATAAAAATGTTTGATATTTTAGATAACAACAAAAATTCCAAAAGCTTTCAGTGAACAATATTTAACTAGTAACAGAGAAGTATACTTAAGTCCAGCCTACTTATTTTGTGTAAGTACTTAAGTAAATTTGTTTCAAAAGCAGCCAATTGCAGAAATAATATTCTCTAAATGTTCACTTGATGAATTACATAAGACAAACTTTCAATCACACGAGACGATTCCTACAAA